>NC_000005.10:49721303-49890555 GCF_000001405.40 Homo sapiens | reverse complement strand
CAAAACTGCTCCATAAAAAGGAAGGTTCAACTCTGTGAGTTGAATGGACAGATCACAAAGTAGTTTCTGAGAATGCTTCTCTCTAGTGTTTATGTGAAGATATTCCCGTTTCCGATGAAGGCCTCAAAGCAGTCCACATATCCACTTGCAGATTCTACAAAAACAGTGTTTCAAAAGTACTCGATGGAAAGGTATGTTCAACACTGTGAGATGAATGCAAACGTCACAAAGAAGTTGCTGAGAATGCTTTCAGTCTAGTTTCTATGGGAAGACATTTCCTTTTGCACCACAGCCCTCAAAGCACCCCAAATGTCTACCTGCAGATTCGATAAAAGAGTTTTTCAAAACTACTCCATCCAAAGAAAGGTTCAACGCTGTGAGTTGAATCTACATATCACAAAAAAGTTTCTGAGAATGCCTCTATCTACTTTTTATGTGAAGATATTCCGGTTTCCAAAGAAGGCCTCAAAGCGCTCCACATATCTAGTTGCAGATTCTAGAAAAAGAGTATTTCAAAACTGCTCTATTAAAGGAAGGTTCAACTCTGTGAGTTGAATTCACACATCACAAAGAACTTTCTGACAATGCTTCTATCTAGTTTTTATGTGAAGATATTACTGTTTCCTATGAAGGCCTCAAAGTGGTCCGAATATCCTCTTGCAGATTCTACAAAAAGAGGTTTTCAAAACTGCTCTATGTAAAGGTATGTTCAACTCTGTGAGTTGAATGCAAACATCACAAAGCAGTTTCTGAGAATGCTTCTGTCTAGATTTTAGGGGCAGATATTTCCATTGGCACAACAGCCCTCAAAGCGCTCCAAATATCCACTGGCAGATTCTACCAAAAGAGTGTTTCAAAACTGCTCTCTGAAAAGAAATGTTCAACTGTGTTAGTTGAATGCCCACATCACAAAGGAGATTCTGAGAATATTTCTGTCTAGTTTTTATTAGAAGATATTCCCGTTTCCACCAAAGGACACAAAGCGAAGCCAGTTATCCGCTTGCCGATCTTACAAAAACACGTTTCAAAAGTGCTGCATCAAAGGAAAGGTTCATCTCTGTGGGTTCAACGCACACATCACAAAGAAGTTTCTGAGAATGCTTCTGGCTAGTTTGTGTGTGAAGATATTCCCATTTCCAACAAAGGCTTCAAAGCGCTCCAAAGATTCCCCTGCAATTGTTCAAAAGAGTGTTTCAAAACTGTTCTATCAAAAGGAAGGTTCAACTCTGTGAGTTGAAGGCACGCTTCACATAAATGTTTCCGAGAATGCTTCTTTCTAGTTTTTATGGGAAGATATTTCCTTCTCCACCATAGCCCTCAAAGCGCTCCAAGTGTCCGCAGTCAGATTCCACAGAAACAGTGTTTCAAAACTGCTCTGACAAAAGAAAGATTCAACTCCGTGATTTGAATGCACACATCACAAAGCATTTTCTGTGAATCCTTCTGTCTAGTTTTTATATGAGGATATTTCCTTTTCTACCATGGGCATCAAAGTGTTCCAATTATCCAATTGTGGATTGCACAAACAGAGTGTTTGAAAACTGCTTCATGAAAAGGAAGATTCAAATTCGGGAGGAGACTGCACACATCACCAAGAAGTTTCTGAGAATGCTTCTGTCTAGTTTATATGTGCAGATATTCCCATTTCCAGCAAAGGTCTCAAAGCGGTCCAAATATCCACTTGCGGATCCCACAAACAGAGTGTTTCAAAACTGCTCTACGGAAAGGTAGGTTCAACTCTGTGAGTTTACTGCAAACATCCTAAAGAAGTTTCTGAGAATGCTGCTGTCTAGTTTAATGTGAATATCTTTTCTTTTCCGCCATAGCCCTCAAAGAGCTCCAAATATCCACTTTCAGATTCTACAGAGTGTTTCAAAACTGCTCTATCCAAAAAAAGTTTCAACTCGGAGAGTCGAATGCACATATCACAAAGAAGTTTCTGAGAATGCTTTCGTCTATTTTTCCCAGGAAGATATTTCCTTTTTAACCGTAGGCCTCAAACCGCTCCAGATATCCACATGCAGATTCTACAAAAAGAGTGTTTCCAAACTGCCCTATCAAAAGGAAGGTTCAACTCTGCTAGTTGAATGCAAACATCACAAAGAAGTTTCTCGGAATGCTTCTGTCTGGTTTTTAGAGGCAGATATTTCTTTTTCTACCATACGCCTCAAAGCGCTCCAAATATCCACTTGCAGATTCTCCAAAAACAGTGTTTCAAAACTGCTCCATAAAAAGGAAGGTTCACCTCTGTGAGTTGAATGGACAGATGACAAAGAAGTTTCTGAGAATGCTTCTCTCTAGTGTTTATGTGAAGATATTCCCGTTTCCGATGAAGGCCTCAAAGCAGTCCAAATATCCACTTGCCGATTCTACAAAAACAGTGTTTCAAAACCACTCTATGGAAAGGTATGTTCAACACTGTGAGATGCATGCAAACGTCACCAAGAAGTTGCTGAGAATGCTTCAGTCTAGTTTCCATGGGAAGACATTTCCTTTTGCACCACAGCCCTCAAAGCACTCCAAATGTCTACTTGCAGATTCGACAAAAGAGTTTTTCAAAACTGCTCTATCAAAAGAAAGGTACAACGCTGTCAGATGAATCAACATATCACAAAAAAGTTTCTGAGAATGCCTCTATCTACTTTTTCTGTGAAGATATTCCGGTTTCCAACGAAGGCCTCAAAGCGCTCCAAATATCTACTTGCAGATTCTAGAAGAAGAGTGTTTCAAAACTGCTCTATTAAAGGAAGGTTCAACTCTGTGAGTTGAATTCACACATCACAAAGAACTTTCTGACAATGCTTCTATCTAGTTTTTATGTGAAGATATTACTGTTTCCTATGAAGGCCTCAAAGTGGTCCGAATATCCACTTGCAGATTCTACAGAAAGAGGTTTTCAAAACTGCTCTGTGAAGAGGTATGTTCAACTCTGTGTGTTGAATGCAAACATCATGAAGTAGTTTCTGAGAATGCTTCTGTCTAGTTTTAAGGGCAGATATTTCCATTGGCACAATAGCCCTCAAAGCGCTCCAAATATCCACTGGCAGATTCTACCAAAAGAGTGTTTCAAAACTGCTCTGTGAAAAGAAGCGTTCAACTGTGTTAGTTGAATGCCCACATCACAAAGAAGATTCTGAGAATATTTCTGTCTAGTTTTTATTAGAAGATATTCCCGTTTCCACCAAAGGACACAAAGCAAAGCCAATTATCCGCTTGCAGATCTTACAAAAACACGTTTCAAAACTGCTCTATCAAAGGAAAGGTTCATCTCTCTGGGTTCAACGCACACATCACAAAGAAGTTTCTGAGAATGCTTCTGGCTAGTTTGTGTGTGAAGATATTCCCATTTCCAACAAAGGCTTCAAAGCGCTCCAAAGATTCACCTGCAATTGTTCAAAAGAGTGTTTCAAAACTGTTCTATCAAAAGGAAGGTTCAACTCTGTGAGTTGAAGGCACGCTTCACATAAATGTTTCCGAGAATGCTTCTTTCTAGTTTTTATGTGAAGATATTTCCTTCTCCACCATAGCCCTCAAAGCGCTCCAAGTGTCCGCTGGCAGATTCCACAGAAACAGTGTTTCAAAACTGCTCTAACAAAAGAAAGATTCAACTCCATGATTTGAATGCACACATCACAAAGCATTTTCTGTGAATCCTTCTGTCTAGTTTTTATATGAGGATATTTCCTTTTCTACCACGGGCATCCAAGCGTTCCTATTCTCCAATGGTAGATTGCACAAACAGAGTGTTTCAAAACTGCTCCATGAGAAGGAAGATTCAAATTTGGGAGTACAATGCACACATCACGAAGAAGTTTCTGAGAATGCTTCTGTCTAGTTTATATGTGAAGATATTCCCATTTCCAGCAAATGTCTCAAAGCGGTCCAAATATCCACTTGCGGATCCCACAAACAGAGTGTTTCAAAACTGCTCTACGGAAAGGTAGGTTCAACTCTGTGAGTTTACTGCAAACATCCTAAAGAAGTTTCTGAGAATGCTGCTGTCTACTTTAATGTGAATATATTTTCTTTTCCGCCATAGCCCTCAAAGAGCTCCAAATATCCACTTTCAGATTCTACAGAGTGTTTCAAAACTGCTGTATCAAAAAAAAGTTTCAACTCGGTGAGTCGAATGCACATATCACAAAGCAGTTTCTGAGAATGCTTTTCGTCTATTTTTCCCAGGAAGATATTTCCTTTTTGACCGTAGGCCTCAAACCGCTCCAGATATCCACATGCAGATTCTACAAAAAGAGTGTTTCCAAACTGCCCTATCAAAAGGAAGGTTCAACTCTGCTAGTTGAATGCAAACATCACAGAGAAGTTTCTCGGAATGCTTCTGTCTAGTTTTGATATGCAGATATTTCTTTCTCTACCATAGGCTTCAAAGCGCTCCAAATATCCACTTGCAGATTCTACAAAAACAGTGTTTCAAAACGGCTCCATAAAAAGGAAGGTTCAACTCTGTGAGTTGAATGGACAGATCACAAAGAAGTTTCTCAGAATGCTTCTGTCTAGTGTTTATGTGTAGATATTCCCGTTTCCAGTGAAGGCCTCAACGCAGTCCAAATATCCAATTGCAGATTCTACAAAAAGAGTGTTTCAAAACTGCTCTATGAAAAGGTATGTTCAACACTGTGAGATGAATGCAAACGTCACAAGGAAGTTGTTGAGAATGATTCAGTCTAGTTTCTATGGGAAGACATTTCCTTTTGCACCACAGCCCTCAAAGCACTCCAAATGTCTACTTGCAGATTCGACATAAGAGTTTTTGAAAACCGCTGTATCAAAAGAAAGGTTCAACGCTGTGAGTTGAATCTACATATCACAAAAAAGTTTCTGAGAATGCCTCTATCTACGTTTTATGTGAAGATATTCCGGATTCCAACGAAGGCCTCAAAGCGCTCCAAATATCTACTTGCAGATTCTAGAAAAAGAGTGTTTCAAAACTGCTCTATTAAAGGAAGGTTCAACTCTGTGAGTTGAATTCACACATCACAAAGAACTTTCTGACAATGCTTCTATCTAGTTTTTATGTGAAGATATTACTGTTTCCTATGAAGGCCTCAAAGTGGTCCGAATATCCACTTGCAGATTCTACAGAAAGAGGTTTTCAAAACTGCTCTATGAAGAGGTATGTTCAACTCTGTGAGTTGAAGGCAAACATCACGAAGTAGTTTCTGAGAATGCTTCTGTCTAGTTTCTATGGGAAGATATTTCCATTGGCACAATAGCCCTCAAAGCGCTCCAAATATCCACTGGCAGATTCTACCAAAAGAGTGTTTCAAAACTGCTCTGTGAAAAGAAACGTTCAACTGTGTTAGTTGAATGCCCACATCACAAAGAAGATTCTGAGAATATTTCTGTCTAGTTTTTATTAGAAGATATTCCCGTTTCCACCAAAGGACACAAAGCGAAGCCAATTATCCGCTTGCCGATCTTACAAAAGCACGTTTCAAAACTGCTCTATCAAAGGAAAGGTTCATCTCTCTGGGTTCAACGCACACATCACAAAGAAGTTTCTGAGAATGCTTCTGGCTAGTTTGTGTGTGAAGATATTCCCATTTCCAACAAAGGCTTCAAAGCCCTCCAAATATTCACCTGCAATTGTTCAAAAGAGTGTTTCAAAACTGTACTATCAAAAGGAAGGTTCAACTCTGTGAGTTGAACGCACGCTTCACATAAATGGTTCTGAGAATGCTTCTTTCTAGTTTTTATGTGAAGATATTTCCTTCTCCACCATAGCCCTCAAAGCGCTACAAGTGTCCGCTGGCAGATTCCACAGAAACAGTGTTTCAAAACTGCTCTAACAAAAGAAAGATTCAACTGCGTGATTTGAATGCACACATCACAAAGCATTTTCTGTGAATCCTTCTGTCTAGTTTTTATATGAGGATATTTCCTTTTCTACCATGGGCATCAAAGCGTTCCAATTATCCAATTGTGGATTGCACAAACAGAGTGTTTCAAAACTGCTTCATGAAAAGGAAGATTCAAATTCGGGAGTAGAATGCACACATCATGAAGAAGTTTCTGAGAATGCTTCTGTCTAGTTTATATGTGAAGATATTCCCGTTTCCAGCAAAGGTCTCAAAGCGGTCCAAAATCCAATTGCGGATCCCACAAACAGAGTGTTTCAAAACTGCTCTACGGAAAGGTATGTTCAACTCTGTGAGTTTACTGCAAACATCCTAAAGAATTTTCTGGGAATTCTGCTGTCTAGTTTAATGTGAATATATTTTCTTTTCCGCCATAGCCCTCAAAGAGCTCCAAATATCCACTTTCAGATTCTACAGAGTGTTTCAAAACTTCTCTATCAAAAAAAAGTTTCAACTCGGTGAGTCGAATGCACATATCAGAAAGCAGTTTCTGAGAATGCTTTCGTCTATTTTTCCCAGGAAGATATTTCCTTTTTGACTGTAGGCCTCAAATCGCTCCAGATATCCACATGCAGATTCTACAAAAAGAGTGTTTCCAAACTGCCCTATCAAAAGGAAGGTTCAACTCTGGTAGTTGAATGCAAACATCACAAAGAAGTTTCTCAGAATGCTTCTGTCTGGTTTTTAGGGGCGGATATTTCTTTTTCTACCATAGGCCTCAAAGCGCTCCAAATATCCACTTGCAGATTCTCCAAAAGGAGTGTTTCAAAACGGCTCCATAAAAAGGAAGGTTCAACTCTGTGAGTTGAATGGACAGATGACAAAGAAGTTTCTGAGAATGCTTCTGTCTAGTGTTTATGTGAAGATATTCCCGTCTCCGATGAAGGCCTCAAAGCAGTCCAAATATCCACTTGCAGATTCTACAAAAATAGTGTCTCAAAACTACTCTATGGAAAGGTATGTTCAACACTGTGAGATGAATGCAAACGTCACAAAGAAGTTGCTGAGAATGCTTCAGTCTAGTTTCCATGGGAAGACATTTCCTTTGGCACCACAGCCCTCAAAGCACTCCAAATGTCTACTTGCAGATTCGACAAAAGAGTTTTTCAAAACTGCTCTATCAAAAGAAGGGTTCAACGCTGTCAGATGAATCAACATATCACAAAAAAGTTTCTGAGAATGCCTCTATCTACTTTTTATGTGAAGATATTCCGGTTTCCAAAGAAGGCCTCAAAGCGCTCCAAATATCTACTTGCAGACTCTAGAAAAAGAGTGTTTCAAAACTGCTCTATTAAAGGAAGGTTCAACTCTGTGGGTTGAATTCACACATCACAAAGAACTTTCTGACAATGCTTCTATCTAGTTTTTATGTGAAGATATTACTGTTTCCTATGAAGGCCTCAAACTGGTCCGAATATCCACTTGCAGATTCTACAAAAAGATATTTTCAAAACTGCTCTATGAAAAGGTATGTTCAACTCTGTGAGTTGAATGCAAACATCACAAAGCAGTTTCTGAGAATGCTTCTGTCTAGTTTTCAGGGGCAGATATTTCCATTGGCACAATAGCCCTCCAAGCGCTCCAAGTATCCACTGGCAGATTCTACCAAAAGAGTGTTTCAAAACTGCTCTGTGAAAAGAAATGTTCAACTGTGTTAGTTGAATGCCCACATCACAAAGGAGATTCTGAGAATATTTCTGTCTAGTTTTTATTAGAAGATATTCCCGTTTCAACCAAAGGACACAAAGTGAAGCCAATTATGCGCTTGCAGATCTTACAAAAGCACGTTTCAAAACTGCTCTATCGAAGGAAAGGTTCATCTCTCTGGGTTCAACGCACACATCACGAAGAAGTTTCTGAGAATGCTTCTGGCTAGTTTGTGTGTGAAGATATTCCCATTTCCAACAAAGGCTTCAAAGCGCTCCAAAGATTCACCTGTAATTGTTCAAAAGAGTGTTTCAAAACTGTTCTATCAAAAGGAAGGTTCAACTCTGTGAGTTGAATGCACGCTTCACATAAATGTTTCCGAGAATGCTTCTTTCTAGTTTTTATGGGAAGATATTTCCTTCTCCACCATAGCCCTCAAAGCGCTCCAAGTGTCCGCTGGCAGATTCCACAGAAACAGTGTTTCAAAACTGCTCTGACAAAAGAAAGATTCAACTCCGTGATTTGAATGCACACATCACAAAGCATTTTCTGTGAATCCTTCTGTCTAGTTTTTATATGAGGATATTTCCTTTTCTACCACGGGCATCCAAGCGTTCCAATTCTCCAATTGTATATTGCACAAACAGAGTGTTTCAAAACTGTTCCATGAGAAGGAAGATTCAAATTTGGGAGTACAATGCACACATCACCAAGAAGTTTCTGAGAATGCTCTGTCTAGTTTATACGTGAAGATATTCCCATTTCCAGCAAAGGTCTCAAAGCGGTCCAAATATCCACTTGCGGATCCCACAAACAGAGTGTTTCAAAACTGCTCTACGGAAAGGTATGTTCAACTCTGTGAGTTTACTGCAAACATCCTAAAGAAGTTTCTGAGAATGCTGGCTGTCTACTTTAATGTGAATATATTTTCTTTTCCGCCATAGCCCTCAAAGAGCTCCAAATATCCACTTTCAGATTCTACAGTGTGTTTTAAAACTGCTCTATCAAAAAAAGGTTTCAAATCGGTGAGCCGAATGCACATATCACAAAGCACTTTCTGAGAATGCTTTCGTCTATTTTTCCCAGGAAGATATTTCCTTTTTGACCGTAGGCCTCAAATCGCTCCAGATATCCACATGCAGATTCTACAAAAAGAATGTTTCCAAACTGCCCTATCAAAAGGAAGGTTCAACTGCTGGTATTTGAATGCAAACATCACAAAGAAGTTTCTCAGAATGCTTTTGTCTGGTTTTTAGAGGCAGATATTTCTTTTTCTACCATAGGCCTCAAAGCGCTCCAAATATCCACTTGCAGATTCTCCAAAAGGAGTGTTTCAAAACTGCTCCATAAAAAGGAAGGTTCAACTCTGTGAGTTGAATGGACAGATGACAAAGAAGTTTCTGAGAATGCTTCTCTCTAGTGTTTATGTGAAGATATTCCCGTTTCCGATGAAGGCCTGAAAGCAGTCCAAATATCCACTTGCCGATTCTACAAAAACAGTGTTTCAAAACCACTCTATGGAAACGTATGTTCAACACTGTGAGATGAATGCAAACGTCACCAAGAAGTTGCTGAGAATGCTTCAGTCTAGTTTCTATGGGAAGACATTTCCTTTTGCACCACAGCCCTCAAAGCACCCCAAATGTCTACCTGCAGATTCGATAAAGGAGTTTTTCAAAACTGCTCCATCCAAAGAAAGGTTCAACGCTGTGAGTTGAATCTACATATCACAAAAAAGTTTCTGAGAATGCCTCTATCTACTTTTCCTGTGAAGATATTCCAGTTTCCAACGAAGGCCTCAAAGCGCTCCAAATATCTACTTGCAGATTCTAGAAAAAGAGTGTTTCAAAACTGCTCTATTAAAGGAAGGTTCAACTCTGTGAGTTGAATTCACACATCACAAAGAACTTTCTGACAATGCTTCTTTTTAGTTTTTATGTGAAGATATTACTGTTTCCTATGAAGGCCTCAAAGTGGTCCGAATATCCACTTGCAGATTCTACAGAAAGAGGTTTTCAAAACTGCTCTGGGAAGGGGTATGTTCAACTCTGTGTGTTGAATGCAAACATCACGAAGTAGTTTCTGAGAATGCTTCTGTCTAGTTTTTAGGGGCAGATATTTCCGTTGGCACAATAGCCCTCAAAGCGCTCCAAATATCCACTGGCAGATTCTACCAAAAGAGAGTTTCAAAACTGCTCTGTGAAAAGAAACGTTCAACTCTGTTAGTTGAATGCCCACATCACAAAGAAGATTCTGAGAATATTTCTGTCTAGTTTTTATTAGAAGATATTCCCGTTTCCACCAAAGGACACAAAGCGAAGCCAACTATCCGCTTGCAGATCTTACAAAAACACGTTTCAAAACTGCTCTATCAAAGGAAAGGTTCATCTCTCTGGGTTCAACGCACACATCACAAAGAAGTTTCTGAGAAAGCTTCTGGCTAGTTCGTGTGTGAAGATATTCCCGTTTCCAACAAAGGCTTCAAAGCCCTCCAAATATTCACCTGCAATTGTTCAAAAGAGTGTTTCAAAACTGTTCTATCAAAAGGAAGGTTCAACTCTGTGAGTTGAATGCATGCTTCACATAAATGGTTCTGAGAATGCTTCTTTCTAGTTTTTATGGGAAGATATTTCCTTCTCCACCATAGTCCTCAAAGCGCTCCAAGTGTCCGCTGGCAGATTCCACAGAAACAGTGTTTCAAAACTGCTCTGACAAAAGAAAGATTCAACTCCGTGATTTGAATGCACACATCACAAAGCATTTTCTGTGAATCCTTCTGTCTAGTTTTTATATGAGGATATTTCCTTTTCTACCATGGGCATCAAAGCGTTCCAATTATCCAATTGTGGATTGCACAAACCGAGTGTTTCAAAACTGCTTCATGAAAAGGAAGATTCAAATTTGGGAGTAGAATGCACACATCACGAAAGAAGTTTCTGAGAATGCTTCTGTCTAGTTTATATGTGAAGATATTCCCATTTCCAGCAAAGGTCTCAAAGCGGTCCAAATATCCCCTTGCGGATCCCACAAACAGAGTGTTTCAAAACTGCTCTACGGAAAGGTATGTTCAACTCTGTGAGTTTACTGCAAACATCCTAAAGAGGTTTCTGAGAATGCTGCTGTCTAGTTTAATGTGAATATATTTTCTTTTCCGCCATAGCCCTCAAAGACCTCCAAATAGCCACTTTCAGAATCTACAGAGTGTTTCAAAACTGCTCTATGAAAAAAAAGTTTCAACTCGGTGATTCGAATGCACATATCACAAAGCAGTTTCTGAGAATGCTTTCGTCTATTTTTCCCAGGAAGATATTTCCTTTTTGACCGTAGGCCTCAAACCGCTCCAGATATCCAAATGCAGATTCTACAAAAAGAGTATTTCCAAACTGCCCTATCAAAAGGAAGGTTCAACTCTGCTAGTTGAATGCAAACATCACAGAGAAGTTTCTTGGAATGTTTCTGTCTGGTTTTTAGAGGCAGATATTTCTTTTTCTACCATAGGCCTCAAAGCGCTCCAAATATCCACTTGCAGATTCTCCAAAAGGAGTGTTTCAAAACTGCTCCAGAAAAAGGAAGGTTCAACTCTGTGAGTTGAATGGACAGATGACAAAGAAGTTTCTGAGAATGATTCTGTCTAGTGTTTATGTGAAGATATTCCCGTTTCCGATGAAGGCCTCAAAGCAGTCCAAATGTCCACTTGCAGATTCTACAAAAATAGTGTTTCCAAACTACTCTATGCAAAGGTATGTTCAACACTGTGAGATGAATGCAAACGTCACCAAGAAGTTGCTGAGAATGATTCAGTCTAGTTTCTATGGGAAGACATTTCCTTTTGCACCACAGCTCTCAAAGCACCCCGAAAGTCTACCTGCAGATTCGATAAAAGAGTTTTTCAAAACTGCTCCATCCAAAGAAAGGTTCAACGCTGTGAGTTGAATCTACATATCACAAAAAAGTTTCTGAGAATGCCTCTATCTACTTTTCCTGTGAAGATATTCCGGTTTCCAACGAAGGCCTCAAAGCGCTCCAAATATCTACTTGCAGATTCTAGAAAAAGAGTGTTTCAAAACTGCTCTATTAAAGGAAGGTTCAACTCTGTGAGTTGAATTCACGCATCACAAAGAACTTTCTGACAATGCTTCTATTTAGTTTTTATGTGAAGATATTACTGTTTCCTATGAAGGCCTCAAAGTGGCCCGAATATCCACTTGCAGATTCTACAGAAAGAGGTTTTCAAAACTGCTCTCTGAAGAGGTATGTTCAACTCTGTGTGTTGAATGCAGACATCACGAAGTAGTTTCTGAGAATGCTTCTGTCTAGTTTTCAGGGGCAGATATTTCCATTGGCACAATAGCCCTCCAAGCGCTCCAAATATCCACTGGCAGATTCTACCAAAAGAGTGTTTCAAAACTGCTCTGTGAAAAGAAATGTTCAACTGTGTTAGTTGAATGCCCACTTCACAAAGGAGATTCTGAGAATATTTCTGTCTAGTTTTTATTAGAAGATATTCCCGTTTCCACCAAAGGACACAAAGCGAAGCCAACTATCCGCTTGCAGATCTTACAAAAACACGTTTCAAAACTGCTCTATCAAAGGAATGGTTCATCTCTCTGGGTTCAACGCACACATCACAAGGAAGTTTCTGAGAATGCTTCTGGCTAGTTTGTGTGTGAAGATATTCCCATTTCCAACAAAGGCTTCAAAGCGCTCCAAAGATTCACCTGCAATTGTTCAAAAGAGTGTTTCAAAACTGTTCTATCAAAAGGAAGGTTCAACTCTGTGAGTTGAATGCACGCTTCACATAAATGTTTCTGAGAATGCGTCTTTCTAGTTTTTATGTGAAGATATTTCCTTCTCCACCGTAGCCCTCAAAGCGCTCCAAGTGTACGCTGGCAGATTCCACAGAAACAGTGTTTCAAAACTGCTCTAACAAAAGAAAGATTCAACTCCGTGATTTGAATGCACACATCACAAAGCATTTTCTGTGAATCCTTCTGTCTAGTTTTTATATGAGGATATTTCCTTTTCTACCATGGGCATCAAAGCGTTCCAATTATCCAATTGTGGATTGCGCTAACAGAGTGTTTCAAAACTGCTTCATGAAAAGGAAGATTCAAATTCGGGAGTAGAATGCACACATCACGAAGAAGTTTCTGAGAATGCTTCTGTCTAGTTTATATGTGAAGATATTCCCATTTCCAGCAAAGGTCTCAAAGCGGTCCAAATATCCACTTGCGGATCCCACAAACAGAGTGTTTCAAAACTGCTCTACGGAAAGGTAGGTTCAACTCTGAGAGTTTACTGCAAACATCCTAAAGAAGTTTCTGAGAATGCTGCTGTCTACTTTAATGTGAATATATTTTCTTTTCCGCCATAGCCCTCAAGGAGCTCCAAATATCCACTTTCAGATTCTACAGAGTGTTTCAAAACTTCTCTATCAAAAAAAAGTTTCAACTTGGTGAGTCGAATGCACATATCACAAAGCACTTTCTGAGAATGCTTTCGTCTATTTTTCCCAGGAAGATATTTCCTTTTTGACCGTAGGCCTCAAACCGCTCCAGATATCCACATGCAGATTCTACAAAAAGAGTGTCTCCAAACTGCCCTATCAAAAGGAAGGTTCAACTCTGCTAGTTGAATGGAAACATCACAAAGAAGTTTCTCGGAATGCTTCTGTCTAGCTGTGATAGGCAGATATTTCTTTTTCTACCATAGGCCTCAAAGTGCTCCAAATATCCACTTGCAGATTCTCCAAAAACAGGGTTTCAAAACTGCTCCATATAAAGGAAGGTTCAACTCTGTGAGTTGAATGGACAGACCACAAAGAAGTTTCTGAGAATGCTTCTGTCTAGTGTTTATGTGAAGATATTCCCGTTTCCGATGAAGGCCTCAAAGCAGTCCAAATATCCACTTGCAGATTCTACAAAAATAGTGCTTCAAAACTACTCTATGGAAAGGTATGTTCAACACTGTGACATGAATGCAAACGTCACAAAGAAGTTGCTGAGAATGCTTCAGTCTAGTTTCTATGGGAAGACATTTCCTTTTGCACCACAGCCCTCAAAGCACCCCAAATGTCTACCTGCAGATTCGATAAAAGGGTTTTTCAAAACTGCTCCATCCAAAGAAAGGTTCAACGCTGTAAGTTGAATCTACATATCACAAAAAAGTTTCTGAGAATGCCTCTATCTACATTTCCTGTGAAGATATTCCGGTTTCCAACGAAGGCCTCCAAGCGCTCCAAATATCTACTTGCAGATTGTAGAAAAAGAGTGTTTCAAAACTGCTCTATTAAAGGAAGGTTCAACTCTGTGAGTTGAATTCACACATCACAAAGAACTTTCTGACAATGCTTCTATCTAGTTTTTATGTGAAGATGTTACTGTTTCCTATGAAGGCCTCAAAGTGGTCCGAATATCCACTTGCAGATTCTACAAAAAGGGGTTTTCAAAACTGCTCTATGAAGAGGTATGTTCAACTCTGTGAGTTGAATGCAAACATCACAAAGTAGTTTCTGAGAATGCTTCTGTCTAGTTTTCAGGGGCAGATATTTCCATTGGCACAATAGCCCTCCAAGCGCTCCAAATATCCACTGGCAGATTCTACCAAAAGAGTGTTTCAAAACTGCTCTGTGAAAAGAAATGTTCAACTGTGTAAGTTGAATGCCCACATCACAAAGTAGATTCTGAGAATATTTCTCTCTAGTTTTTATTAGAAGATATTGCCGTTTCCACCAAAGGACACAAAGCGAAGCCAACTATCCGCTTGCAGATCTTACAAAAACACGTTTCAAAACTGCTCTATCAAAGGAAAGGTTCATCTCTCTGGGTTCAACGCACACATCACAAAGAAGTTTCTGAGAATGCTTCTGGCTAGTTTGCGTGTGAAGATATTCCCATTTCCAACAAAGGCTTCAAAGCGCTCCAAAGATTCACCTGCAATTGTTCAAAAGAGTGTTTCAAAACTGTTGTATCAAAGGAAGGTTCAACTCTGTGAGTTGAATGCACGCTTCACATAAATGTTTCTGAGAATGCTTCTTTCTAGTTTTTATGGGAAGATATTTCCTTCTCCACCACAGCCCTCAAAGCGCTCCAAGTGTCCACTGGCAGATTCCACAGAAACAGTGTTTCAAAACTGCTCTGACAAAAGAAAGATTCAACTCCGTGATTTGAATGCACACATCACAAAGCATTTTCTGTGAATCATTCTGTCTAGTTTTCATATGAGGATATTTCCTTTTCTACCATGGGCATCAAAGCGTTCCAATTATCCAATTGTGGATTGCACAAACAGAGTGTTTCAAAACTGCTTCATGAAAAGGAAGATTCAAATTCGGGAGTAGAATGCACACATCACGAGGAAGTTTCTGAGAATGCTTCTGTCTAGTTTATATGTGAAGATATTCCCATTTGCAGCAAAGGTCTCAAATCGGTCCAAATATCCACTTGCGGATCCCACAAACAGAGTGTTTCAAAACTGCTCTACGGAAAGGTATGTTCAACTCTGTGAGTTTACTGCAAACATCCTAAAGAAGTTTCTGAGAATGCTGCTGTCTAGTTTAATGTGAATATATTTTCTTTTCCGCCATAGCCCTCAAAGAGCTCCAAATATCCACTTTCAGATTCTACAGAGTGTTTCAAAACTGCTCTATCCAAAAAAAGTTTCAACTCAGTGAGTCGAATGCACATATCACAAAGCAGTTTACTGAGGATGCTTTCGTCTATTTTTCCCAGGAAGATATTTCCTTTTTGACCGTAGGCCTCAAACCGCTCCAGATATCCACATGCAGATTCTACAAAAAGAGTGTTTCCAAACTGCCCTATCAAATGGAAGGTTCAACTCTGCTAGTTGAATGCAAACATCACAAAGAAGTTTCTCGGAATGCTTCTGTCTGGTTTTTAGAGGCAGATATTTCTTTTTCTACCATAGGCCTCAAAGCGCTCCAAATATCCACTTGCAGATTCTCCAAAAACAGTGATTCAAAACTGCTCCATAAAAAGGAAGGTTCAACTCTGTGAGTTGAATGGACAGATCACAAAGAAGTTTCTCAGAATGCTTCTGTCTAGTGTTTATGTGAAGATATTCCCGTTTCCGATGAAGGCCTCAAAGCAGTCCAAATATCCACTTGCAGATTCTACAAAAATAGTGTTTCAAAACCGCTCTATGCAAAGGTATGTTCAACACTGTGAGATGCATGCAAACGTCACCAAGAAGTTGCTGAGAATGCTTTCAGTCTAGTTTCTATGGGAAGACATTTCCTTTTGCACCAGAGCCCTCAAAGCACTCCAAATGTCTACTTGCAGATTCGATAAAAGAGTTTTCCAAAACTGCTCTATCAAAAGAAAGGTTCAACGCTGTGAGTTGAATCTACATATCACAAAAAAGTTTCTGAGAATGCCTCTATCTACTTTTTATGTGAAGATATTCCGGTTTCCAACGAAGGCCTCAAAGCGCTCCAAATATCTACTTGCAGATTCTAGAAAAAGAGTGTTTCAAAACTGCTCTATGAAAAGAAGGTTCAACACTGTGAGTTGAATTCACACATCACAAAGAACTTTCTGACAATGCTTCTGTCTAGTTTTTATGTGAAGATATTACTGTTTCCTGTGAAGGCCTCAAAGTGGTCCGAATATCCACTTGCAGATTCTACAGAAAGAGGTTTTCAAAACTGCTCTGTGAAGAGGTATGTTCAACTCTGTGTGTTGAATGCAAACATCACGAAGTAGTTTCTGAGAATGCTTCTGTCTAGTTTTCAGGGGCAGATATTTCCATTGGCACAATAGCCCTCCAAGCTCTCCAAGTATCCACTGGCAGATTCTACCAAAAGAGTGTTTCAAAACTGCTCTGTGAAAAGAAATGTTCAACTGTGTTAGTTGAATGCCCACATCACAAAGGAGATTCTGAGAATATTCTGTCTAGTTTTTATTAGAAGATATTCCCGTTTCCACCAAAGGACACAAAGCGAAGCCAATTATCCGCTTGCCGATCTTACAAAAACACGTTTCAAAACTGCTCTATCAAAGGAAAGGTTCATCTCTCTGGGTTCAACGCACACATCACAAAGAAGTTTCTGAGAATGCTTTCTGGCTAGTTTGTGTGTGAAGATATTCCCATTTGCAACAAAGGCTTCAAAGCGCTCCAAAGATTCACCTGCAATTGTTCAAAAGAGTGTTTCAAAACTGTTGTATCAAAAGGAAGGTTCAACTCTGTGAGTTGAATGCACGCTTCACATAAATGTTTCTGAGAATGCTTTTCTTTCTAGTTTTTATGTGAAGATATTTCCTTCTCCACCATAGCCCTCAAAGCGCTCCAAGTGTCCGCTGGCAGATTGCACAGAAACAGTGTTTCAAAACTGCTCTAACAAAAGAAAGATTCAACTCCGTGATCTGAATGCACACATCACAAAGCATTTTCTGTGAATCCTTCTGTCTAGTTTTTATATGAGGATATTTCCTTTTCTACCATGGGCATCAAAGCGTTCCAATTATCCAATTGTGGATTGCACAAACAGAGTGTTTCAAAACTGCTTCATGAAAAGGAAGATTCAAATTTGCGAGGAGAATGCACACATCACGAAGAAGTTTCTGAGAATGCTTCTGTCTAGTTTATATGTGAAGATATTCCCATTTCCAGCAAAGGTCTCAAAGCGGTCCAAATATCCACTTGCAGATCCCACAAACAGAGGGTTTCAAAACTGCTTTACGGAAAGGTATGTTCAACTCTGTGAGTTTACTGCAAACATCCTCAAGAAGTCTCTGAGAATGCTGCTGTCTAGTTTAATGTGAATATCTTTTCTTTTCCGCCATAGCCCTCAAAGAGCTCCAAATATCCACCTTCAGATTCTACAGAGTGTTTCAAAACTGCTCTATCCAAAAAAAGTTTCAACTCGGTGAGTCGAATGCACATATCACAAAGCAGTTTCTGAGAATGCTTTCCTCTATTTTTCCCAGGAAGATATTTCCTTTTGGACCGTAGGCCTCAAATCGCTCCAGATATCCACATGCAGATTCTACAAAAAGAGTGTTTCCAAACTGCCCTATCAAAAGGAAGATTCAACTCTGGTAGTTGAATGCAAACATCACAAAGAAGTTTCTCAGAATGCTTCTGTCTGGTTTTTAGAGGCAGATATTTCTTTTTCTACCATAGGCCTCAAAGCACTCCAAATATCCACTTGCAGATTCTCCAAAAACAGTGATTCAAAACTGCTCCATAAAAAGGAAGGTTCAACTCTGTGAGTTGAATGGACAGATCACAAAGAAGTTTCTGAGAATGCTTCTCTCTAGTGTTTATGTGAAGATATTCCCGTTTCCGATGAAGGCCTCAAAGCAGTCCAAATATCCACTTGCCGATTCTACAAAAACAGTGTTTCAAAACCACTCTATGGAGAGGTATGTTCAACACTGTGAGATGAATGCAAACGTCACCAAGAAGTTGCTGAGAATGCTTCAGTCTAGTTTCTACGGGAAGACATTTCCTTTTGCACCACAGCCCTCAAAGCACTCCAAATGTCTACTTGCAGATTCGATAAAAGAGTTTTTCAAAACTGCTCTATCAAAAGAAAGGTTCAACGCTGTGAGTTGAATCTACATATGACAGAAAAGTTTCTGAGCATGCCTCTATCTACTTTTTATGTGAAGATATTCCGGTTTCCAAAGAAGGCCTCAAAGCGCTCCAAATATCTACTTGCAGATTCTAGAAAAAGAGTGTTTCAAAACTGCTCTATTAAAGGAAGGTTCAACTCTGTGAGTTGATTTCACACATCACAAAGAACTTTCTGACAATGCTTCTATCTAGTTTTTATGCGAAGATATTACTGTTTCCTATGAAGGCCTCAAAGTGGTCCGAATATCCTCTTGCAGATTCTACAAAAAGAGGTTTTCAAAACTGCTCTATGAAAAGGTATGTTCAACTCTGTGAGTTGAATGCAAACATCACAAAGCAGTTTCTGAGAATGCTTCTGTCTAGTTTTTAGGGGAAGATATTTCCATTGGCACAATAGCCCTCAAAGCGCTCCAAATATCCACTGGCAGATTCTACCAAAAGAGTCTTTCAAAACTGCTCTGTGAAAAGAAAGGTTCAACTGTGTTAGTTGAATGCCCACATCACAAAGAAGATTCTGAGAATATTTCTGTCTAGTTTTTATTAGAAAATATTCCCGTTTCCACCAAAGGACACAAAGCGAAGCCAACTATCCGCTTGCAGATCTTACAAAAACACGTTTCAAAACTGCTCTATCAAAGGAAAGGTTCATCTCTCTGGGTTCAACGCACACATCACAAAGAAGTTTCTGAGAATGCTTCTGGCTAGTTTGTGTGTGAAGATATTCCCATTTCCAACAAAGCCTTCAAAGCGCTCCAAAGATTCACCTGCAATTGTTCAAAAGAGTGTTTCAAAACTGTTCTCTCAAAAGAAAGGTTCAACTCTGTGAGTTGAATGCACGCTTCACATAAATGTTTCCGAGAATGCTTCTCTCTAGTTTTTATGGGAAGATATTTCCCTTCTCCACCATAGCCCTCAAAGCGCTCCAAGTGTCCGCTGGCAGATTCCACAGAAACAGTGTTTCAAAACTGCTCTAACAAAAGAAAGATTCAACTCCGTGATTTGAATGCACACATCACAAAGCATTTTCTGTGAATCCTTCTGTCTAGTTTTTATATGAGGATATTTCCTTTTCTACCATGCGCATCAAAGCGTTCCAATTATCCACTTGTGGATTGCACAAACAGAGTGTTTCAAAACTGCTTCATGAAAAGGAAGATTCAAATTCGGGAGTAGAATGCACACATCACGAAGAAGTTTCTGAGAATGCTTCCGTCTAGTTTATATGTGAAGATATTCCCATTTCCAGCAAAGGTCTCAAAGCGGTGCAAATATCCACTTGCGGATCCCACAAACAGTGTTTCAAAACTGCTCTACCGAAAGGTATGTTCAACTCTGTGAGTTTACTGCAAACATCCTAAAGAAGTTTCTGAGAATGCTGCTGTCTACTTTAATGTGAATATATTTTCTTTTCCGCCATAGCCCTCAAAGAGCTCCAAATATCCACTTTCAGATTCTACAGAGTGTTTCAAAACTGCTCTATCGAAAAACAGTTTCAACACGGTGAGTCGAATGCACATGTCACAAAGCAGTTTCTGAGAATTCTTTCGTCTATTTTTCCCAGGAAGATATTTCCTTTTTGACCATAGGCCTCAAATCGCTCCAGATATCCACATGCAGATTCTACAAAAAGAGTGTTTCCAAACTGCCCTATCAAAAGGAAGATTCAACTCTGGTAGTTGAATGCAAACATCACAAAGAAGTTTCTCAGAATGCTTCTGTCTAGTTTTTAGAGGCAGATATTTCTTTTTCTACCATAGGCCTCAAAGCGCTCCAAATATCCACTTGCAGATTCTCCAAAAACAGTGTTTCAAAACTGCTCCATAAAAAGGAAGGTTCAACTCTGTGAGTTGAATGGACAGATCACAAAGTAGTTTCTGAGAATGCTTCTGCCTAGTGTTTATGTGAAGATATTCCCGTCTCCGATGAAGGCCTCAAAGCAGTCCAAATATCCGCTTGCAGATTCTACAAAAATAGTGTCTCAAAACTACTCTATGGAAAGGTATGTTCAACACTGTGAGATGAATGCAAACGTCACAAAGAAGTTGCTGAGAATGCTTCAGTCTAGTTTCCATGGGAAGACATTTCCTTTGGCACCACAGACCTCAAAGCACTCCAAATGTCTACTTGCAGATTCGACAAAAGAGTTTTTCAAAACTGCTCTATCAAAGGAAAGGTTCAACGCTGTCAGATGAATCAACATATCACAAAAAAGTTTCTGAGAATGCCTCTATCTACTTTTCCTGTGAAGATATTCCGGTTTCCAACGAAGGCCTCAAAGCGCTCCAAATATCTACTTGCAGATTCTAGAAAAGGAGTGTTTCAACACTGCTGTATTAAAGGAAGGTTCAACTCTGTGAGTTGGATTCACACATCACAAAGAACTTTCTGAGAATGCTTCCATCTAGTTTTTATGTGAAGATATTACTGTTTCCTATGAAGGCCTCAAAGTGGTCCCAATATCCACTTACAGATTCTACAGAAAGAGGTTTTCAAAACTGCTCTGTGAAGAGGTATGTTCAACTCTGTGTGTTGAATGCAAACATCACGAAGTAGTTTCTGAGAATGCTTCTGTCCAGATTTCAGGGGCAGGTATTTCCATTGGCACAACAGCCCTCCAAGCGCTCCAAATATCCACTGGCAGATTCTACCAAAAGAGTGTTTCAAAACTGCTCTGTGAAAAGAAATGTTCAACTGTGTTAGTTGAATGCCCACATCACAAAGGAGATTCTGAGAATATTTCTGTCTAGTTTTTATTAGAAGATATTCCCGTTTCCACCGAAGGACACAAAGCGAAGCCAATTATCCGCTTACCGATCTTACAAAAACGCGTTTCAAAACTGCTCTATCGAAGGAAAGGTTCATCTCTCTGGGTTCAACGCACACATCACAAAGAAGTTTCTGAGAATGCTTCTGGCTAGTTTGTGTGTGAAGATATTCCCATTTCCAACAAAGGCTTCAAAGCGCTCCAAAGATTCACCTGCAATTGTTCAAAAGAGTGTTTCAAAACTGTTCTATCAAAAGGAAGGTTCAACTCTGTGAGTTGAATGCACGCTTCACATAAATGTTTCTGAGAATGCTTCTTTCTAGTTTTTATGGGAAGATATTTCCTTCTCAACCATAGCCCTCAAAGCGCTCCAAGTGTCCGCTGGCAGATTCCACAGAAACAGTGTTTCAAAACTGCTCTGACAAAAGAAAGATTCAACTCCGTGATTTGAATGCACACATCACAAAGCATTTTCTGTGAATCCTTCTGTCTAGTTTTTATATGAGGATATTTCCTTTTCTACCACGGGCATCCAAGCCTTCCAATTCTCCAATTGTAGATTGCACAAACAGAGTGTTTGAAAACTGCTCCATGAGAAGGAAGATTCAAATTTGGGAGTACAATGCACACATCACCAAGAAGTTTCTGAGAATGCTTCTGTCTAGTTTAAATGTGCAGATATTCCCATTTCCAGCAAAGGTCTCAAAGCGGTCCAAATATCCACTTGCGGATCCCACAAACAGAGTGTTTCAAAACTGCTCTACGGAAAGGTATGTTCAACTCTGTGAGTTTACTGCAAACATCCTAAAGAAGTTTCTGAGAATGCTGCTGACTACTTTAATGTGAATATATTTTCTTTTCCGCCATAGCCCTCAAAGAGCTCCAAATATCCACTTTCAGATTCTACAGAGTGTTTCAAAACTGCTGTATCAAAAAAAAGTTTCAACTCGGTGAGTCGAATGCGCATATCACAAAGCACTTTCTGAGAATGCTTTCGTCTATTTTTCCCAGGAAGATATTTCCTTTTTGACCGTAGGCCTCAAACCGCTCCAGATATCCACATGAAGATTCTACAAAAAGAGTGTTTCCAAACTGCCCTATCAAAAGGAAGGTTCAACTCTGCTAGTTGAATGCAAACATCACAAAGAACTTTTCTCAGAATGCTTCTGTCTAGTTTTCAGGGGCAGATATTTCCATTGGCACAATAGCCCTCCAAGCGCTCCAAATATCCACTGGCAGATTCTACCAAAAGAGTGTTTCAAAACTGCTCCATAAAAAGGAAGGTTCAATTCTGTGAGTTGAATGGACAGATGACAAAGAAGTTTCTGAGAATGCTTCTGTCTAGTGTTTATGTGAATATATTCCCGTTTCCGATGGAGGCCTCAAAGCAGTCCAAATATCCACTTGCAGATTCTACAAAAATAGTGTTTCAAATCTACTCTATGGAAAGGTATGTTCAACACTGTGAGATGAATGCAAACGTCACAAAGAAGTTGCTGAGAATGCTTCAGTCTAGTTTCTATGGGAAGACATTTCCTTTTGCACCACAGCCCCCAAAGCACTCCAAATGTCTACTTGCAGATTCGATAAAAGAGTTTTACAACACTGCTCTATCAAAAGAAAGGTTCAACGCCGTGAGTTGAATCCACATATCACGAAAAAGTTTCTGAGAATGCCTCTATCTACTTTTCCTGTGAAGATATTCCGGTTTCCAACGAAGGCCTCAAAGCGCTCCAAATATCTACTTGCAGATTCTAGAAAAAGAGTGTTTCACAACTGCTCTATTGAAGGAAGGTTCAACTCTGTGAGTTGAATTCACACATCACAAAGAACTTTCTGACAATGCTTCTATCTAGTTTTTATGTGAAGATATTACTGTTTCCTATGAAGGCCTCAAAGTGGTCCGAATATCCACTTGCAGATTCTACAAAAAGAGGTTTTCAAAACTGCTCTATGAAGAGGTATGTTCAAGTCTGTGAGTTGAATGCAAACATCACGAAGCAGTTTCTGAGAATGCTTCTGTCTAGATTTTAGGGGCAGATATTTCCATTGGCACAACAGCCCTCAAAGCGCTCCAAAGATCCACTGGCAGATTCTACCAAAAGAGTGTCTCAAAACTGCTCTGTGAAAAGAAATGTTCAACTGTGTTAGTTGAATGCCCACATCACAAAGGAGATTCTGAGAATATTTCTGTCTAGATTTTATTAGAAGATATTCCCGTTTCCACCAAAGGACACAAAGCGAAGCCAATTATCCGCTTGCAGATCTTACAAAAACACGTTTCAAAACTGCTCTATCAAAGGAAAGTTTCATCTCTCTGGGTTCAACGCACACATCACAAAGAAGTTTCTGAGAATGCTTCTGGCTAGTTTGTGTGTGAAGATATTCCCATTTCCAACAAAGCCTTCAAAGCGCTCCAAAGATTCACCTGCAATTGTTCAAAAGAGTGTTTCAAAACTGTTCTATCAAAAGAAAGGTTCAACTCTGTGAGTTGAATGCACGCTTCACATAAATGTTTCCGAGAATGCTTCTTTCTAGTTTTTA
Source organism: Homo sapiens (assembly GCF_000001405.40). NCBI lineage: Eukaryota > Metazoa > Chordata > Mammalia > Primates > Hominidae > Homo > Homo sapiens. Next base: position 49,867,125 of record NC_000005.10, on the reverse strand, counting down.
TGGGAAGATATTTCCTTCTCCACCATAGCCCTCAAAGCGCTCCAAGTGTCTGCTGGCAGATTCCACAGAAACAGTGTTTCAAAACTGCTCTAACAAAAGAAAGATTCAACTCCGTGATTTGAATGCACACATCACAAAGCATTTTCTGTGAATCCTTCTGTCTAGTTTTTATATGAGGATATTTCCTTTTCTACCATGGGCATCAAAGCGTTCCAATTATGCAATTGTGGATTGTACAAACAGAGTGTTTCAAAACTGCTTCATGAAAAGGAAGATTCAAATTTGGGAGTAGAATACACACATCACGAAGAAGCTTCTGAGAATGCTTCTGTCTAGTTTATATGTGAAGATATTCCCATTTCCAGCAAAGGTCTCAAAGCGGTCCAAATATCCACTTGCAGATCCCACAAACAGAGGGTTTCAAAACTGCTTTACGGAAAGGTATGTTCAACTCTGTGAGTTTACTGCAAACATCCTAAAGATGTTTCTGAGAATGCTGCTGTCTAGTTTAATGTGAATATATTTTCTTTTCCGCCATAGCCCTCGAAGAGCTCCAAATATCCACTTTCAGATTCTACAGAGTGTTTCAAAACTGCTCTATCATAAAAAAGTTTCAACTCGGTGAGTCGAATGCACATATCACAAAGCACTTTGTGAGAATGCTTCTGTCTTGTTTTTAGAGGCAGATATTTCTTTTTCTACCATAGGCCTCAAAGCGCTCCAAATATCCACTTGCAGATTCTCCAAAAGGAGTGTTTCAAAACTGCTCCATAAAAAGGAAGGTTCAACTCTGTGAGTTGAATGGACAGATGATAAAGAAGTTTCTGAGAATGCTTCTCTCTAGTGTTTATGTGAAGATATTCCCGTTTCCGATGAAGGCCTCAAAGCAGTCCAAATATCCACTTGCCCATTCTACAAAAACAGTGTTTCAAAACCACTCTATGGAAAGGTATGTTCAACACTGTGAGATGAATGCAAACGTCACCAAGAAGTTGCTGAGAATGCTTCAGTCTAGTTTCTATGGGAAGACATTTCCTTTTGCACCACAGCCCTCAAAGCACCCCGAATGTCTACCTGCAGATTCGATAAAAGAGTTTTTCAAAACTGCTCCATCCAAAGAAAGGTTCAACGCTGTGAGTTGAATCTACATATCACAAAAAGTTTCTGAGAATGCCTCTATCTACTTTTTATGTGAAGATATTCCCGGTTTCCAAAGAAGGCCTCAAAGCGCTCCAAGTATCTACTTGCAGATTCTAGAAAAAGAGTGTTTCAAAACTGCTCTATTAAAGGAAGGTTCAACTCTGTGAGTTGAATTCACACATCACAAAGAACTTTCTGACAATGCTTCTATCTAGTTTTTATGTGAAGATATTACTGTTTCCTATGAAGGCCTCAAAGTGGTCCGAATATCCACTTGCAGATTCTACAAAAAGAGGTTTGCAAAACTGCTCTATGAAGAGGTATGTTCACCTCTGTGAGTTGAATGCAAACATCACAAAGCAGTTTCTGAGAATGCTTCTGTCTAGTTTTTAGGGGCAGATATTTCCGTTGGCACAATAGCCCTCAAAGCGCTCCAAATATCCACTGGCAGATTCTACCAAAAGAGTGTTTCAAAACTGCTCTGTCAAAAGAAACGTTCAACTCTGTTAGTTGAATGCCCACATCACAAAGAAGATTCTGAGAATATTTCTGTCTAGTTTTTATTAGAAGATATTCCCGTTTCCACCAAAGGACACAAAGCGAAGCCAACCATCCGCTTGCAGATCTTACAAAAACACGTTTCAAAACTGCTCTTTCAAAGGAAAGGTTCATCTCTCTGGGTTCAACGCACACATCACAAAGAAGTTTCTGAGAATGCTTCTGGCTAGTTTGTGTGTGAAGATATTCCCATTTCCAACAAAGGCTTCAAAGCCCTCCAAATATTCACCTGCAATTGTTCAAAAGAGTGTTTCAAAACTGTTCTATCAAAAGGAAGGTTCAACTCTGTGAGTTGAAGGCACGCTTCACATAAATGGTTCTGAGAATGCTTCTTTCTAGTTTTTATGTGAAGATATTTCCTTCTCCACCATAGCCCTCAAAGCGCTCCAAGTGTCCGCTGGCAGATTCCACAGAAACAGTGTTTCAAAACTGATCTAACAAAAGAAAGATTCAACTCCGTGATTTGAATGCACACATCACAAAGCATTTTCTGTGAATCCTTATCTGTCTAGTTTTTATATGAGGATATTTCCTTTTCTACCATGGGCATCAAAGGGTTCCAATTATCCAATTGTAGATTGCACAAATAGAGAGTTTCAAAACTGCTTCATGAGAAGGAAGATTCAAATTTGGGAGTAGAATGCGCACATCACGAAGAAGTTTCTGAGAATGCTTCTGTCCAGTTTATATGTGAAGATATTCCCGTTTCCAGCAAAGGTCTCAAAGCGGTCCAAATATCCACTTGCGGATCCCACAAACAGAGTTTTTCAAAGCTGCTCTACGGAAAGGTATGTTCAAATCTGTGAGTTTACTGCAAACATCCTAAAGAAGTTTCTGGGAATGCTGCTGTCTAGTTTAATGTGAATATATTTTCTTTTCCGCCATAGCCCTCAAAGAGCTCCAAATATACACTTGCAAATTCTACAGAGTGTTTCAAAACTGCTCTATCCAAAAAAAGTTTCAAATCGGTGAGTCGAATGCACATATCAAAAAGCAGTTTCTGAGAATGCTTTCGTCTATTTTTCCCAGGAAGATATTTCCTTTTGGACCGTAGGCCTCAAATCGCTCCAGATATCCACATGCAGATTCTACAAAAAGAGTGTTTCCAAACTGCCCTATCAAAAGGAAGGTTCAACTCTGGTAGTTGAATGCAAACATCACAAAGAAGTTTCTGAGAATGCTTCTGTCTAGTTGTAATAGGCAGATATTTCTTTTTCTACCATAGGCCTCAAAGCGCTCCAAATATCCACTTGCAGATTCTCCAAAAACAGTGTTTCAAAACTGCTCCATAAAAAGGAAGGTTCAACTCTGTGAGTTGAATGGACAGATCACAAAGTAGTTTCTGAGAATGCTTCTCTCTAGTGTTTATGTGAAGATATTCCCGTTTCCGATGAAGGCCTCAAAGCAGTCCAAATATCCACTTGCCGATTCTACAAAAACAGTGTTTCAAAACCACTCTATGGAAAGGTATGTTCAACACTATGAGATGAATGCAAACGTCACCAAGAAGTTGCTGAGAATGCTTCAGTCTACTTTCTATGGGAAGACATTTCCTTTTGCACCACAGCCCCCAAAGCACTCCAAATGTCTACTTGCAGATTCGATAAAGGAGTTTTACAAAACTGCTCTATCAAAAGAAAGGTTCAACGCTGTGACTTGAATCCACATATCACGAAAAAGTTTCTGAGAATGCCTCTATCTACTTTTCCTGTGAAGATATTCCGGTTTCCAACGAAGGCCTCAAAGCGCTCCAAATATCTACTTGCAGATTCTAGAAAAAGAGTGTTTCAAAACTGCTGTATTAAAGGAAGGTTCAACTCTGTGAGTTGAATTCACACATCACAAAGAACTTTCTGACAATGCTTCTATCTAGTTTTTATGTGAAGATAATACTGTTTCCTACGAAGGCCTCAAAGTGGTCCGAATATCCACTTGCAGATTCTACAGAAAGAGGTTTTCAAAACTGCTCTGTGAAGAGGTATGTTCAACTCTGTGTGTTGAATGCAGACATCACGAAGTAGTTTCTGAGAATGCTTCTGTCTAGTTTTCAGGGGCAGATATTTCCATTGGCAAAATAGCCCTCCAAGCGCACCAAATATCCACTGGCAGATTCTACCAAAAGAGTGTTTCAAAACTGCTCTGTGAAAAGAAATGTTCAACTGTGTTAGTTGAATGCCCACATCACAAAGGAGATTCTGAGAATATTTCTGTCTAGTTTTTATTAGAAGATATTCCCGATTCCACCAAAGGACACAAAGCGAAGCCAATTATCCGCTTGCCGATCTTACAAAAACACGTTTCAAAACTGCTCTATCCAAGGAAAGGTTCATCTCTCTGGGTTCAACGCACACATCACAAAGAAGTTTCTGAGAATGCTTCTGGCTAGTTTGTGTGTGAAGATATTCCCATTTCCAACAAAGGCTTCAAAGCCCTCCAAATATTCACCTGCAATTGTTCAAAAGAGTGTTTCAAAACTGTTCTATCAAAAGGAAGGTTCAACTCTGTGAGTTGAATGCACGCTTCACATAAATGGTTCTGAGAATGCTTCTTTCTAGTTTTTATGTGAAGATATTTCCTTCTCCACCATAGCCCTCAAAGCGCTCCAAGTGTCCGCTGGCAGATTCCACAGAAACAGTGTTTCAAAACTGCTCTAACAAAAGAAAGATTCAACTCCGTGATTTGAATGCACACATCACAAAGCATTTTCTGAGAATCCTTCTGTCTAGTTTTTATATGAAGATATTTCCTTTTCTACCATGGGCATCAAAGCGTTCCAATTATCCAATTGTGGATTGCACAAACAGAGTGTTTCAAAACTGCTTCATGAAAAGGAAGATTCACATTCGGGAGTAGAATGCACACATCACGAAGAAGTTTCTGACAATGCTTCTGTCCAGTTTATATGTGAAGATATTCCCGTTTCCAGCAAAGGTCTCAAAGCGGTCCAAATATCCACTTGCGGATCCCACACACAGAGTGTTTCAAAGCTGCTCTACGGAAAGGTATGTTCAACTCTGTGAGTTTACTGCAAACATCTTAAAGAAGTTTCTGGGAATGCTGCTGTCTAGTTTAATGTGAATACATTTTCTTTTCCGCCATAGCCCTCGAAGAGCTCCAAATATCCACTTTCAGATTCTACAGAGTGTTTCAAAACTGCTCTATCAAAAAAAAGTTTCAACTCGGAGAGTCGAATGCACATATCACAAAGCAGTTTCTGAGAATGCTTTCGTCTATTTTTCCCAGGAAGATATTTCCTTTTTGACCGTAGGCCTCAAACCGCTCCAGATATCCACATGCAGATTCTACAAAAAGAGTGTCTCCAAACTGCCCTATCAAAAGGAAGTTCAACTCTGCTAGTTGAATGCAAACATCACAAAGAAGTTTCTCGGAATGCTTCTGTCTGGTTTTCAGAGGCAGATATTTCTTTTTCTACCATAGGCCTCAAAGCGCTCCAAATATCCACTTGCAGATTCTCCAAAAGGAGTGTTTCAAAACTGCTCCATAAAAAGGAAGGTTCAACTCTGTGAGTTGAATGGACAGATGACAAAGAAGTTTCTGAGAATGCTTCTCTCTAGTGTTTATGTGAAGATATTCCCGTTTCCGATGAAGGCCTCAAAGCAGTCCAAATATCCACTTGCAGATTCTACAAAAACAGTGTTTCAAAAGTACTCGATGGAAAGGTATGTTCAACACTGTGAGATGAATGCAAACGTCACAAAGAAGTTGAGAGAATGCTTCAGTCTAGTTTCTATGGGAAGACATTTCCTTTTGCACCACAGCCCTCAAAGCACCCCAAATGTCTACCTGCAGATTCGATAAAAGGGTTTTTCAAAACTGCTCCATCCAAAGAAAGGTTCAACGCTGTGAGTTGAATCTACATATCACAAAAAAGTTTCTGAGAATGCCTCTATCTACTTTTTCTGTGAAGATATTCCGGTTTCCAATGAAGGCCTCAAAGCGCTCCAAATATCTAATTGCAGATTCTAGAAGAAGAGTGTTTCAAAACTGCTCTATTAAAGGAAGGTTCAACTCTGTGAGTTGAATTCACACATCACAAGGAACTTTCTGACAATGCTTCTATCTAGTTTTTATGTGAAGATATTACTGTTTCCTATGAAGGCCTCAAAGTGGTCCGAATATCCACTTGCAGATTCTACAGAAAGAGGTTTTCAAAACTGCTCTGTGAAGAGGTATGTTCAACTCTGTGTGTTGAATGCAAACATCACGAATTAGTTTCTGAGAATGCTTCTGTCCAGTTTTCAGGGGCAGATATTTCCATTGGCACAATAGTCCTCCAAGCGCTCCAAATATCCACTGGCAGATTCTACCAAAAGAGTGTTTCAAAACTGCTCTGTGAAAAGAAATGTTCAACTGTGTTAGTTGAATGCCCACATCACAAAGGAGATTCTGAGAATATTTCTGTCTAGTTTTTATTAGAAGATATTCCCGTTTCCACCAAAGGACACACAGCGAAGCCAACTATCCGCTTGCAGATCTTACAAAAACACGTTTCAAAACTGCTCTGTCAAAGGAAAGGTTCATCTCTCTGGGTTCAACGCACACATCACAAAGAAGTTTCTGAGAATGCTTCTGGCTAGTTTGTGTGTGAAGATATTCCCATTTCCAACAAAGGCTTCAAAGCCCTCCAAATATTCACCTGCAATTGTTCAAAAGAGTGTTTCAAAACTGTTCTGTCAAAAGGAAGGTTCAACTCTGTGAGTTGAACGCACGCTTCACATAAATGGTTCTGAGAATGCTTCTTTCTAGTTTTTATGGGAAGATATTTCCTTCTCCACCACAGCCCTCAAAGCGCTCCAAGTGTCCGCTGGCAGATTCCACAGAAACAGTGTTTCAAAACTGCTATAACAAAAGAAAGATTCAACTCCGTGATTTGAATGCACACATCACAAAGCATTTTCTGTGAATCCTTCTGTCTAGTTTTTATATGAGGATATTTCCTTTTCTACCATGGGCATCAAAGCGTTCCAATTATCCAATTGTAGATTGCGCAAATAGAGTGTTTCAAAACTGCTTCATGAGAAGGAAGATTCAAATTCTGGAGTAGAATGCACACATCAAGAAGAAGTTTCTTAGAATGCTTCTGTCCAGTTTATATTTGAAGATATTCCCGTTTCCAGCAAAGGTCTCAAAGCGGTCCAAATATCCACTTGCGGATCCCACACACAGAGTGTTTCAAAGCTGCTCTATGGAAAGGTATGTTCAACTCTGTGAGTTTACTGCAAACATCCTAAAGAAGTTTCTGGGAATGCTGCTGTCTACTTTAATGTGAATATATTTTCTTTTCCGACATAGCCCTCAAAGATCTCCAAATATCCACTTTCAGATTCTACAGAGTGTTTCAAAACTGCTCTATCAAAAAAAAGTTTCAACTCGGTGAGTCGAATGCACATATCACAAAGCAGTTGCTGAGAATGCTTTCGTCTATCTTTCCCAGGAAGATATTTCCTTTTGGACCGTAGGCCTCAAATCGCTCCAGATATCCACATGCAGATTCTACAAAAAGAGTGTTTCCAAACTGCCCTATGAAAAGGAAGGTTCAACTCTGGTAGTTGAAGGCAAACATCACAAAGAAGTTTCTCAGAATGCTTCTGTCTGGTTTTTAGAGGCAGATATTTCTTTTTCTACCATAGGCCTCAAAGCGCTCCAAATATCCACCTGCAGATTCTCCAAAAGGAGTGTTTCAAAACTGCTCCATAAAAAGGAAGGTTCAACTCTGTGAGTTGAATGGACAGATCACAAAGAAGTTTCTGAGAATGCTTCTCTCTAGTGTTTATGTGAAGATATTCCCGTTTCCGATGAAGGCCTCAAAGCAGTCCAAATATCCACTTGCCGATTCTACAAAAACAGTATTTCAAAACTACTCTATGGAAAGGTATGTTCAACACTGTGAGATGAATGCAAACGTCACAAAGAAGTTGCTGAGAATGCTTCAGTCTAGTTTCTATGGGAAGACATTTCCTTTTGCACCACAGCCCTCAAAGCACCCCAAATGTCTACCTGCAGATTCGATAAAAGAGTTTTTCAAAACTGCTCCATCCAAAGAAAGGTTCAACGCTGTGAGTTGAATCTACATATCACAAAAAATGTTTCTGAGAATGCCTCTATCTACATTTCCTGTGAAGATATTCCGGTTTCCAAAGAAGGCCTCTAAGCGCTCCAAATATCTACTTGCAGATTCTAGAAAAAGAGTGTTTCAAAACTGCTCTATTAAAGGAAGGTTCAACTCTGTGAGTTGAATTCACACATCACAAAGAACTTCCTGACAATGCTTCTATCTAGTTTTTATGCGAAGATATTACTGTTTCCTATGAAGGCCTCAAAGTGCTCCGAATATACACTTGCAGATTCTACAAAAAGAGGTTTTCAAAACTGCTCTGTGATGAGGTATGTTCAACTCTGTGAGTTGAATGCAAACATCACGAAGTAGTTTCTGAGAATGCTTCTGTCTAGTTTTTAGGGGCAGATATTTCCGTTGGCACAATAGCCCTCAAAGCGCTCCAAATATCCACTGGCAGATTCTACCAAAAGAGTGTTTCAAAACTGCTCTGTGAAAAGAAAGGTTCAACTGTGTTAGTTGAATGCCCACATCACAAAGAAGATTCTGAGAATATTTCTGTCTAGTTTTTATTAGAAGATATTCCCGTTTCCACCAAAGGACACAAAGCGAAGCCAACTATCCGCTTGCAGATCTTACAAAAACACGTTTCAAAACTGCTCTTTCAAAGGAAAGGTTCATCTCTCTGGGTTCAACGCACACATCACAAAGAAGTTTCTGAGAATGCTTCTGGCTAGTTTGTGTGTGAAGATATTCCCATTTCCAACAAAGGCTTCAAAGCGCTCCAAAGATTCACCTGCAATTGTTCCAAAGAGTGTTTCAAAACTGTTGTATCAAAAGGAAGGTTCAACTCTGTGAGTTGAAGGCACGCTTCACATAAATGTTTCTGAGAATGCTTCTTTCTAGTTTTTATGGGAAGATATTTCCTTCTCCACCACAGCCCTCAAAGCGCTCCAAGTGTCCGCTGGCAGATTCCACAGAAACAGTGTTTGAAAACTGCTCTAACAAAAGAAAGATTCAACTCCGTGATTTGAATGCACACATCACAAAGCATTTTCTGTGAATCCTTCTGTCTAGTTTTTATATGAGGATATTTCCTTTTCTACCATGGGCATCAAAGCGTTCCAATTATCCAATTGTGGATTGCACAAACAGAGTGTTTCAAAACTGCTTCATGAAAAGGAAGATTCAAATTCGGGAGGAGAATGCACACATCATGAAGAAGTTTCTGAGAATGCTTCTGTCTAGTTTATATGTGAAGATATTCCCATTTCCAGCAAAGGTCTCAAAGCGGTCCAAATATCCACTTGCGGATCCCACAAACAGAGTGTTTCAAAACTGCTCTACAGAAAGGTAGGTTCAACTCTGTGAGTTTACTGCAAACATCCTAAAGAAGTTTCTGAGAATGCTGCTGTCTACTTTAATGTGAATATATTTTCTTTTCCGCCATAGCCCTGCAAGAGCTCCAAATATCCACTTTCAGATTCTACAGAGTGTTTCAAAACTGCTCTATCAAAAAAAAGTTTCAACTCGGTGAGTCGAATTCCCATATCACAAAGCAGTTTCTGAGAATGCTTTCGTCTATTTTTCCCAGGAAGATATTTCCTTTTTGACCGTAGGCCTCAAACCGCTCCAGATATCCACATGCAGATTCTACAAAAAGAGTGTTTCCAAACTGCCCTATCAAAAGGAAGGTACAACTCTGCTAGTTGAATGCAAACATCACAGAGAAGTTTCTCGGAATGCTTCTGTCTGGTTTTTAGAGGCAGATATTTCTTTTTCTACCATAGGCCTCAAAGCGCTCCAAATATCCACTTGCAGATTCTCCAAAAACAGTGATTCAAAACTACTCCATAAAAAGGAAGGTTCAACTCTGTGAGTTGAATGGACAGATCACAAAGAAGTTTCTGAGAATGCTTCTGTCTAGTGTTTATGTGAAGATATTCCCGTTTCCGATGAAGGCCTCAAAGCAGTCCAAATATCCACTTGCAGATTCTACAAAAATAGTGCTTCAAAACTACTCTATGGAAAGGTATGTTCAACACTGTGAGATGAATGCAAACGTCACAAAGTAGTTTCTGAGAATGCTTCAGTCTAGTTTCTATGGGAAGACATTTCCTTTTGCACCACAGCCCTCAAAGCACCCCAAATGTTTACCTGCAGATTCGATAAAAGAGGTTTTCAAAACTGCTCCATCCAAAGAAAGGTTCAACGCTGTGAGTTGAATCTACATATCACAAAACAAGTTTCTGAGAATGCCCCTATCTACTTTTCCTGTGAAGATACTCCGGTTTCCAACGAAGGCCTCAAAGCGCTCCAAATATCTACTTGCAGATTCCAGAAAAAGAGTGTTTCAAAACTGCTCTATTAAAGGAAGTTTCAACTACTGTGAGTTGAATTCACACATCACAAAGAACTTTCTGACAATGCTTCTATCTAGTTTTTATGTGAAGATATTACTGTTTCCTATGAAGGCCTCAAAGTGGTCCGAATATCCACTTGCAGATTCTACAGAAAGAGGTTTTCAAAACTGCTCTATGAAGAGGTATGTTCAACTCTGTGAGTTGAATGCAAACATCACGAAGTAGTTTCTGAGAATGCTTCTGTCTAGTTTTCAGGGGAAGATATTTCCATTGGCACAATAGCCCTCAAAGCGCTCCAAATATCCACTGGCAGATTCTACCAAAAGAGTGTTTCAAAACTACTCTATGAAAAGAAATCTTCAACTGTGTTAGTGGAATGCCTACATCACAAATAAGATTCTGAGAATATTTCTGTCTAGTTTTTATTAGAAGATATTCCCGTTTCCACCAAAGGACACAAAGCGAAGCCAATTATCCGCTTGCCGATCTTACAAAAACAAGTTTCAAAACTGCTCTATCAAAGGAAAGGTTCATCTCTCTGGGTTCAACGCACACATCACAAAGAAGTTTCTGAGAATGCTTCTGGCTAGTTTGTGTGTGAAGATATTCCCATTTCCAACAAAGGCTTCAAAGCCCTCCAAATATTCACCTGCAATTGTTCAAAAGAGTGTTTCAAAACTGTTCTATCAAAAGGAAGGTTCAACTCTGTGAGTTGAATGCACGCTTCACATAAATGGTTCTGAGAATGCTTCTTTCTAGTTTTTATGGGAAGATATTTCCTTCTCCACCATAGCCCTCAAAGCGCTCCAAGTGTCCGCTGGCAGATTCCACAGAAACATTTTTTCAAAACTGCTCTGACAAAAGAAAGATTCAACTCCGTGATTTGAATGCACACATCACAAAGCATTTTCTGTGAATCCTTCTGTCTAGTTTTTATATGAGGATATTTCCTTTTCTACCATGGGCATCAAAGCCTTCCAATTATCCAACTGTGGATTGCACAAACAGAGTGTTTCAAAACTGCTTCATGAAAAGGAAGATTCAAATTCGGGAGTAGAATGCACACATCACGAAGAAGTTTCTGAGAATGCTTCTGTCTAGTTTATATGTGAAGATATTCCCGTTTCCAGCAAAGGTCTCAAAGCGGTCCAAATATCCACTTGCGGATCCCACAAACAGAGTGTTTCAAAACTGCTCTACGGAAAGGTATGTTCAACTCTGTGAGTTTACTGCAAACATCCTAAAGAAGTTTCTGGGAATGCTGCTGTCTAGTTTAATGTGAATATATTTTCTTCTCCGCCATAGCCCTCAAAGAGCTCCAAATCTACACTTTCAGATTCTACAGAGTGTTCCAAAACTGCTCTATCAAAAAAAAGTTTCAACTCGGTGAGTCGAATGCACATATCACAAAGCAGTTTCTGAGAATGCTTTCGTCTATTTTTCCCAGGAAGATATTTCCTTTTTGACCGTAGGCCTCAAACCGCTCCAGATATCCACATGCAGATTCTAAAAAAAGAGTGTCTCCAAACTGCCCTATCAAAAGGAAGGTTCAACTCTGCTAGTTGAATGCAAACATCACAGAGAAGTTTCTCGGAATGCTTCTGTCTAGTTTTTAGAGGCAGATATTTCTTTTTCTACCACAGGCCTCAAAGCGCTCCAAATATCCACTTGCAGATTCTCCAAGAACAGTGTTTCAAAACTGCTCCAGAAAAAGGAAGGTTCAACTCTGTGAGTTGAATGGACAGATCACAAAGAAGTTTCTGAGAATGCTTCTCTCTAGCGTTTATGTGAAGATATTCCCGTTTCCGATGAAGGCCTCAAAGCAGTCCAAATATCCACTTGCCGATTCTACAAAAACAGTGTTTCAAAACTACTCTATGGAAAGGTATGTTCAACACTGTGAGATGAATGCAAACGTCACAAAGAAGTTGCTGAGAATGCTTCAGTCTAGTTTCTATGGGAAGACATTTCCTTTTGCACCACAGCCCTCAAAGCACCCCAAATGTCTACCTGCAGATTCGATAAAAGAGTTTTTCAAAACTGCTCCATCCAAAGAAAGGTTCAACGCTGTGAGTTGAGTCTACATATCACAAAAAATGTTTCTGAGAATGCCTCTATCTACATTTCCTTTGAAGATATTCCGGTTTCCAAAGAAGGCCTCCAAGCGCTCCAAATATCTACTTGCAGATTCTAGAAAAAGAGTGTTTCAAAACTGCTCTATTAAAGGAAGGTTCAACTCTGTGAGTTGAATTCACACATCACAAAGAACTTCCTGACAATGCTTCTATCCAGTTTTTATGTGAAGATATTACTGTTTCCTATGAAGGCCTCAAAGTGGTCCGAATATCCACTTGCAGATTCTACAGAAAGAGGTTTTCAAAACTGCTCTGTGAAGAGGTATGTTCAACTCTGTGTGTTGAATGCAAACATCACGAAGTAGTTTCTGAGAATGCTTCTGTCCAGTTTTCAGGGGCAGATATTTCCATTGGCACAATAGCCCTCCAAGCGCTCCAAATATCCACTGGCAGATTCTACCAAAAGAGTGTTTCAAAACTGCTCTGTGAAAAGAAATGTTCAACTGTGTTAGTTGAATGCCCACATCACAAAGGAGATTCTGAGAATATTTCTGTCTAGTTTTTATTAGAAGATATTCCCGTTTTCACCAAGGGACACAAAGCAAAGCCAATTATCCGCTTGCAGATCTTACAAAAACACGTTTCAAAACTGCTCTATCAAAGGAAAGGTTCATCTCTCTGGGTTCAACGCACACATCACAAAGAAGTTTCTGGGAATGCTTCTGGCTAGTTTGTGTGTGAAGATATTCCCATTTGCAACAAAGGCTTCAAAGCGCTCCAAAGATTCACCTGCAATTGTTCCAAAGAGTGTTTCAAAACTGTTGTATCAAAAGGAAGGTTCAACTCCGTGAGTTGAATGCACGCTTCACATAAATGTTTCTGAGAATGCTTCTTTCTAGTTTTTATGTGAAGATATTTCCTTCTCCACCATAGCTCTCAAAGCGCTCCAAGTGTCCGCTGGCAGATTCCACAGAAACAGTGTTTCAAAACTGCTCTAACGAAAGAAAGATTCAACTCCGTGATTTGAATGCACACATCACAAAGCATTTTCTGTGAATCCTTCTGTCTAGTTTTTATATGAGGATATTTCCTTTTCTACCACGGGCATCCAAGCATTCCAATTCTCCAATTGTAGATTGCACAAACAGAGTGTTTCAAAACTGCTCCATGAGAAGGAAGATTCAAATTTGGGAGTACAATGCACACATCACCAAGAAGTTTCTGAGAATGCTTCTGTCTAGCTTATATGTGAAGATATTCCCATTTCCAGCAAAGGTCTCAAAGCGGTCCAAATATCCACTTGAGGATCCCACAAACAGAGTGTTTCAAAACTACTCTACCGTAAGGTATGTTCAACTCTCTGAGTTTACTGCAAACATCCTAAAGAAGTTTCTGAGAATGCTGCTGTCTACTTTAATGTGAATATATTTTCTTTTCCGCCATAGCCCTCAAAGAGCTCCAAATATCCACTTTCAGATTCTACAGAGTGTTTCAAAACTGCTCTATCAAAAAATAGTTTCAACTCGGTGAGTCGAATGCACATATCACAAAGCAGTTTCTGAGAATGCTTTCGTCTATTTTTCCCAGGAAGATATTTCCTATTTGACCGTAGGCCTCAAACCGCTCCAGATATCCACATGCAGATTCTACAAAAAGAGTGTTTCCAAACTGCCCTATCAAAAGGAAGGTTCAACTCTGCTAGTTGAATGCAAACATCACAAAGGAGTTTCTCGGAATGCTTCAGTCTAGTATTTAGAGGCAGATATTTCTTTTTCTACCATTGGCCTCAAGGCGCTCCAAATATCCACTTGCAGATTCTCCACAAACAGTGTTTCAAAACTGCTCCATAAAAAGGAAGGTTCAACTCTGTGAGTTGAACGGACAGATCACAAAGAAGTTTCTGAGATTGCTTCTCTCTAGTGTTTATGTGAAGATATTCCCGTTTCCGATGAAGGCCTCAAAGCAGTCCAAATATCCACTTGCCGATTCTACAAAAACAGTGTTTCAAAACCACTCTATGGAAACGTATGTTCAACACTGTGAGATGAATGCAAACGTCACCAAGAAGTTGCTGAGAATGCTTCAGTCTAGTTTCTATGGGAAGACAATTCCTTTTGCACCACAGCCCTCAAAGCACCCCAAATGTCTACCTGCAGATTCGATAAAAGAGTTTTTCAAAACTGCTCCATCCAAAGAAAGGTTCAACGCTGTGAGTTGAATCTACATATCACAAAAAAGTTTCTGAGAATGCCTCTATCTACTTTCTATGTGAAGATATTCCGGTTTCCAACGAAGGCCTCAAAGCGCTCCAAATATCTACTCGCAGATTCTAGAAAAAGAGTGTTTCAAAACTGCTCTATTAAAGGAAGGTTCAACTCTGTGAGTTGAATTCACACATCACAAAGAACTTTCTGACAATGCTTCTATCTAGTTTTTATGCGAAGACATTACTGTTTCCTATGAAGGCCTCAAAGTGCTCCGAATATCCACTTGCAGATTCTACAAAAAGAGGTTTTCAAAACTGCTCTGTGAAGAGGTATGTTCAACTCTGTGAGTTGAATGCAAACATCACGAAGTAGTTTCTGAGAATGCTTCTGTCTAGTTTTTAGGGGCAGATTTTCCATTGGCACAATAGCCCTCAAAGCGCTCCAAATATCCACTGGCAGATTCTACCAAAAGAGTGTTTCAAAACTGCTCTGTGAAAAGAAACGTTCAACTGTGTTAGTTGAATGCCCACATCACAAAGAAGATTCTGAGAATATTTCTGTCTAGTTTTTATTAGAAGATATTCCCGTTTCCACCAAAGGACACAACGCGAAGCCAATTATCCGCTTGCAGATGTTAGAAAAACACGTTTCAAAACAGCTCTATCAAAGGAAAGGTTCATCTCTCTGGGTTCAACGCACACATCACAAAGAAGTTTCTGAGAATGCTTCTGGCTAGTTTGTGTGTGAAGATATTCCCATTTCCAAAAAAGGCTTCAAAGCCCTCCAAATATTCACCTGCAATTGTTCAAAAGAGTGTTTCAAAACTGTTCTATCAAAAGGAAGGTTCAACTCTGTGAGTTGAACGCACGCTTCACATAAATGGTTCTGAGAATGCTTCTTTCTAGTTTTTATGTGAAGATATTTCCTTCTCCACCATAGCCCTCAAAGCGCTCCAAGTGTCCGCTGGCAGATTCCACAGAAACAGTGTTTCAAAACTGCTCTAACAAAAGAAAGATTCAACTCCGTGATCTGAATGCACACATCACAAAGCATTTTCTGTGAATCCTTCTGCCTAGTTTTTATATGAGGATATTTCCTTTTCTACCATGGGCATCAAAGCGTTCCAATCATCCAATTGTAGAATGCACAAATAGAGTGTTTCAAAACTGCTTCATGAAAAGGAAGATTCAAATTTGGGAGTAGAATGCACACATCACGAAGAAGTTTCTGAGAATGCTTCTGTCTAGTTTATATGTGAAGATATTCCCGTTTCCAGCAAAGGTCTCAAAGCGGTCCAAATATCCACTTGCGGATCCCACAAACAGAGTGTTTCAAAACAGCTCTACGGAAAGGTATGTTCAACTCTGTGAGTTTACTGCAAACATCCTAAAGAAGTTTCTGGGAATGCTGCTGTCTACTTTAATGTGAATATATTTTGTTTTCCGCCATAGCCCTCAAAGAGCTCCAAATATCCACTTTCAGATTCTACAGAGTGTTTCAAAACTGCTCTATCAAAAAAAAGTTTCAACTCGGTGAGTCGAATGCCCATATCACAAAGCAGTTTCTGAGAATGCTTTTGTCTATTTTTCCCAGGAAGATATTTCCTTTTTGACCGTAGGCCTCAAACCGCTCCAGATATCCACATGCAGATTCTACAAAAAGAGTGTTTCCAAACTGCCCTATCAAAAGGAAGGTTCAACTCTGCTAGTTGAATGCAAACATCACAGAGAAGTTTCTCGGAATGCTTTCTGTCTGGTTTTTAGAGGCAGATATTTCTTTTTCTACCATAGGCCTCAAAGCGCTCCAAATATCCACTTGCAGATTCTCCAAAAAGAGTGTTTCAAAACTGCTGCAGAAAAAGGAAGGTTCAAATCTGTGAGTTGAATGGACAGATGACAAAGAAGTTTCTGAGGATGCTTCTGTCTAGTGTTTATGTGAAGATATTCCCGTTTCCGATGAAGGCCTCAAAGCAGTCCAAATATCCACTTGCAGATTCTACAAAAACAGTGTTTCAAAACTACTCTATGGAAAGGTATGTTCAACACTGTGAGATGAATGCAAACGTCACAAAGAAGTTGCTGAGAATGCTTCAGTCTAGTTTCTATGGGAAGACATTTCCTTTTGCACCACAGCCCTCAAAGCACCCCAAATGTCTACCTGCAGATTCGATAAAAGAGTTTTTCAAAACTGCTCCATCCAAAGAAAGGTTCAACGCTGTGAGTTGAATCTACATATCACAAAAAAGTTTACTGAGAATGCCTCTATCTACTTTTCCTGTGAAGATATTCCGGTTTCCAACGAAGGCCTCAAAGCGCTCCAAGTATCCACTTGCAGATTCTAGAAAAAGAGTGTTTCACAACTGCTCTATTGAAGGAAGGTTCAACTCTGTGAGTTGAATTCACACATCACAAAGAACTTTCTGACAATGCTTCTATCTAGTTTTTATGTGAAGATATTACTGTTTCCTATGAAGGCCTCAAAGTGGTCCGAATATCCCCTTGCAGATTCTACAAAAAGAGGTTTCCAAAAGTGCTCTATGAAGAGGTATGTTCAACTCTGTGAGTTGAATGCAAACATCACAGAGCAGTTTCTGAGAATGCTTCTGTCTAGTTTTTAGGGGCAGATATTTCCGTTGGCACAATAGCCCTCAAAGCGCTCCAAATATCCACTGGCAGATTCTACCAAAAGGGTGTTTCCAAACTGCTCTGTGAAAAGAAAGGTTCAACTGTGTTAGTTGAATGCCCACATCACGAAGAAGATTCTGAGAATATTTCTGTCTAGTTTTTATTAGAAGATATTCCCGTTTCCAACAAAGGACACAAAGCGAAGCCAACTATCCGCTTGCAGATCTTACAAAAACACGTTTCAAAACTGCTCTATCAAAGGAAAGGTTCATCTCTCTGGGTTCAACGCACACATCACAAAGAAGTTTCTGAGAATGTTTCTGGCTAGTTTGTGTGTGAAGATATTCCCAATTCCAACAAAGGCTTCAAAGCGCTCCAAAGATTCACCTGCAATTGTTCAAAAGAGTGTTTCAAAACTGTTGTATCCAAAGGAAGGTTCAACTCTGTGAGTTGAATGCACGCTTCACATAAATGTTTCTGAGAATGCTTCTTTCTAGTTTTTATGTGAAGATATTTCCTTCTCCACCGTAGCCCTCAAAGCGCTCCAAGTGTCCGCTGGCAGATTCCACAGAAACAGTCTTTCAAAACTGCTCTAACAAAAGAAAGATTCAACTCTGTGATTTGAATGCACACATCACAAAGCATTTTCTGTGAATCCTTCTGTCTAGTTTTTATATGAGGATATTTCCTTTTCTACCATGGGCATCAAAGCGTTCCATTTATCCAATTGTGGATTGCACAAACAGAGTGTTTCAAAACTGCTTCATGAAAAGGAAGATTCAAATTCGGGAGTAGAATGCACACATCACGAAGAAGTTTCTGAGAATGCTTCTGTCTAGTTTATATGTGAAGATATTCCCGTTTCCAGCAAAGGTCTCAAAGCGGTCCAAATATCCACTTGCGGATCCCACAAACAGAGTGTTTCAAAACTGCTCTACGGAAAGGTATGTTCAACTCTGTGAGTTTACTGCAAACATCCTAAAGAAGTTTCCGGGAATGCTGCTGTCTAGTTTAATGTGAATATATTTTCTTTTCCGCCATAGCCCTCAAAGAGCTCCAAATATCCACTTTCAGATTCTACAGAGTGTTTCAAAACTGCTCTATCCAAAAAAAGTTTCAACTCGGTGAGTCGAATGCACATGTCACAAAGCAGTTTCTGAGAATGCTTTCGTCTATCTTTCCCAGGAAGATATTTCCTTTTGGACCGTAGGCCTCAAATCGCTCCAGATATCCACATGCAGATTCTACAAAAAGAGTGTTTCCAAACTGCCCTATCAAAAGGAAGGTTCAACTCTGGTAGTTGAAGGCAAACATCACAAAGAAGTTTCACAGAATGCTTCAGTCTAGTTGTAATAGGCAGATATTTCTTTTTCTACCATAGGCCTAAAAGCGCTCCAAATATCCACTTGCAGATTCTCCAAAAACAGTGTTTCAAAACTGCTCCATAAAAAGGAAGGTTCAACTCTGTGAGTTGAATGGACAGATCACAAAGTAGTTTCTGAGAATGCTTCTCTCTAGTGTTTATGTGAAGATATTCCCGTTTCCGATGAAGGCCTCAAAGCAGTCCAAATATCCACTTGCCGATTCTACAAAAACAGTGTTTCAAAACTACTCTATGGAAAGGTATGTTCAACACTTGTGAGATGAATGCAAACGTCACCAAGAAGTTGCTGAGAATGCTTCAGTCTAGTTTCTATGGGAAGACATTACCTTTTGCACCACAGCCCTCAAAGCACCCCAAATGTCTACCTGCAGATTCGATAAAAGGGTTTGTCAAAACTGCTCCATCCAAAGAAAGGTTCAACGCTGTGAGTTGAATCTACATATCACAAAAAAGTTTCTGAGAATGCCTCTATCAACTTTTTATGTGAAGATATTCCGGATTCCAACGAAGGCCTCAAAGCGCTCCAAATATCTACTGGCAGATTCTAGAAAAAGAGTGTTTCAAAACTGCTCTATTAAAGGAAGGTTCAACTCTGTGAGTTGAATTCACACATCACAAAGAACTTTCTGACAATGCTTCTATCTAGTTTTTATGTGAAGATATTACTGTTTCCTATGAAGGCCTCAAAGTGGTCCGAATATCCACTTGCAGATTCTACAAAAAGAGGTTTGCAAAACTGCTCTATGAAGAGGTATGTTCACCTCTGTGAGTTGAATGCAAACATCACAAAACAGTTTCTGAGAATGCTTCTGTCTAGATTTTAGGGGCAGATATTTCCATTGGCACAACAGCCCTCAAAGCGCTCCAAATATCCACTGGCAGATTCTACCAAAAGAGTGTCTCAAAACTGCTCTGTGAAAAGAAATGTTCAACTGTGTTAGTTGAATGCCCACATCACAAAGGAGATTGTGAGAATATTTCTGTCTAGTTTTTATTAGAAGATATTCCCGTTTCCACCAAAGGACACAAAGCGAAGCCAATTATCCGCTTGCCGATCTTACAAAAACACGTTTCAAAACTGCTCTATCAAAGGAAAGGTTCATCTCTCTGGGTTCAACGCACACATCACAAAGAAGTTTCTGGGAATGCTTCTGGCTAGTTTGTGTGTGAATATATTCCCATTTCCAACAAAGGCTTCAAAGCGCTCCAAAGATTCACCTGCAATTGTTCAAAAGAGTGTTTCAAAACTGTTGTATCAAAAGGAAGGTTCAACTCTGTGAGTTGAATGCACGCTTCACATAAATGTTTCTGAGAATGCTTCTTTCTACTTTTTATGGGAAGATATTTCCTTCTCCACCATAGCCCTCAAAGAGCTCCAAGAGTCCGCTGGCAGATTCCACAGAAACAGTGTTTCAAAACTGCTCTGACAAAAGAAAGATTCAACTCCGTGATTTGAATGCACACATCACAAAGCATTTTCTGTGAATCCTTCTGTCTAGTTTTTATATGAGGATATTTCCTTTTCTACCATGGGCATCAAAGCGTTCCAATTATCCAATTGTGGATTGCACAAACCGAGTGTTTCAAAACTGCTTCATGAAAAGGAAGATTCAAATTTGGGAGTAGAATGCACACATCACGAAGAAGTTTCTGAGAATGCTTCTGCCTAGTTTATATGTGAAGATATTCCCATTTCCAGCAAAGGTCTCAAAGCGGTCCAAATATCCACTTGCGGATCCCACAAACAGAGTGTTTCAAAACTGCTCTACGGAAAGGTAGGTTCAACTCTGTGAGTTTACTGCAAACATCCTAAAGAAGTTTCTAAGAATGCTGCTGTCTACCTTAATGTGAATATATTTTCTTTTCCGCCATAGCCCTCAAAGAGCTCCAAATATCCACTTTCAGATTCTACAGAGTGTTTCAAAACTGCTCTATCAAAAAAAAGTTTCAACTCGGTGAGTCGAATGCACATATCACAAAGCACTTTCTGAGAATGCTTTCGTCTATCTTTCCCAGGCAGATATTTCCTTTTGGACCGTAGGCCTCAAATCGCTCCAGATATCCACATGCAGATTCTACAAAAAGAGTGTTTCCAAACTGCCCTATCAAAAGGAAGGTTCAACTCTGGTAGTTGAAGGCAAACATCACAAAGAAGTTTCTCAGAATGCTTCTGTCTGGTTTTTAGAGGCAGATATTACTTTTTCTACCATAGGCCTCAAAGCGCTCCAAATATCCACTTGCAGATTCTCGAAAAAGAGTGTTTCAAAACTGCTCCAGAAAAAGGAAGGTTCAACTCTGTGAGTTGAATGGACAGATGACAAAGAAGTTTCTGAGAATGCTTCTCTCTAGTGTTTATGTGAAGATATTCCCGTTTGTGATGAAGGCCTGAAAGCAGTCCAAATATCCACTTGCCGATTCTACAAAAACAGTGTTTCAAAACCACTCTATGGAAAGGTATGTTCAACACTGTGAGATGAATGCAAACGTCACCAAGAAGTTGCTGAGAATGCTTCAGTCTAGTTTCTATGGGAAGACATTTCCTTTTGCACCACAGCCCTCAAAGCACCCCAAATGTCTACCTGCAGATTCGATAAAAGAGTTTTTCAAAACTGCTCCATCCAAAAAAAGGTTCAACGCTGTGAGTTGAATCTACATATCACAAAAAAGTTTCTGAGAATGCCTCTATCTACTTTTCCTGTGAAGATATTCCGGTTTCCAACGAAGGCCTCAAAGCGCTCGAAATATCTACTTGCAGATTCTGGAAAAAGAGTGTTTCAAAACTGCTCTATTGAAGGAAGGTTCAACTCTGTGAGTTGAATTCACACATCACAAAGAACTTTCTGACAATGCTTCTATCTAGTTTTTATGCAAAGATATTACTGTTTCCTATGAAGGCCTCAAAGTGGTCCGAATATCCACTTGCAGATTGTACAGAAAGAGGTTTTCAAAACTGCTCTGTGAAGAGGTATGTTCAACTCTGTGTGTTGAATGCAAACATCACGAAGTAGTTTCTGAGAATGCTTCTGTCTAGTTTTTAGGGGCAGATATTTCCGTTGGCACAATAGCCCTCAAAGCGCTCCAAATATCCACTGGCAGATTCTACCAAAAGAGTGTTTCAAAACTGCTCTGTGAAAAGAAACGTTCAACTGTGTTAGTTGAATGCCCACATCACAAAGAAGATTCTGAGAATATTTCTGTCTAGTTTTTATTAGAAGATATTCCCGTTTCCACCAAAGGACACAAAGCGAAGCCCATTATCCGCTTGCAGACCTTACAAAAACACGTTTCAAAACTGCTCTATCAAAGGAAAGGTTCATCTCTCTGGGTTCAACGCACACATCACAAAGATGTTTCTGAGAATGCTTCTGGCTAGTTTGTGTGTGAAGATATTCCCATTTCCAACAAAGGCTTCAAAGCGCTCCGAAGATTCACCTGCAATTGTTCAAAAGAGTGTTTCAAAACTGTTGTATCAAAAGGAAGGTTCAACTCTGTGAGTTGAATGCACGCTTCACATAAATGTTTCTGAGAATGCTTCTTTCTAGTTTTTATGGAAAGATATTTCCTTCTCCACCATGACCCTCAAAGCGCTCCAAGTGTCCGCTGGCAGATTCCTCAGAAACAGTGTTTCAAAACTGCTCTAACAAAAGAAAGATTCAACCCCGTGATTTGAATGCACACATCACAAAGCATTTTCTGTGAATCCTTCTGTCTAGTTTTTATATGAGGATATTTCCTTTTCTACCATGGGCATCCAAGCCTTCCAATTCTCCAATTGTAGATTGCACAAACAGAGTGTTTCAAAACTGCTCCATGAGAAGGAAGATTCAAATTTGGGAGTACAATGCACACGTCACGAAGAAGTTTCTGAGAATGCTTCTGTCTAGTTTATATGTGAAGATATTCCCATTTCCAGCAAAGGTCTCAAAGCGGTCCAAATATCCACTTGCGGATCCCACAAACAGAGTGTTTCAAAGCTGCTCTACGGAAAGGTATGTTGAACTCTATGAGTTTACTGCAAACATCCTAAAGATGTTTCTGAGAATGCTGCTGTATAGTTTAATGTGAATATATTTTCTTTTCCACCATAGCCCTCAAAGAGCTCCAAATATCCACTTTCAGATTCTACAGAGTGTTTCAAAACTGCTCTATCCAAAAAAAGTTTCAACTCGGTGAGTTGAATGCACATATCACAAAGCAGTTTCTGAGAATGCTTTCGTCCATTTTTCCCAGGAAGATATTTCCTTTTGGACCGTAGGCCTCAAATCGCTCCAGATATCCACATGCAGATTCTACAAAAAGAGTGTTTCCAAACTGCCCTATCAAAAGGAAGGTTCAACTCTGGTAGTTGAATGTAAACATCACAAAGAAGTTTCTCAGAATGCTTCTGTCTGGTTTTTAGGGGCGGATATTTCTTTTTCTACCATAGGCCTCAAAGCGCTCCAAATATCCACTTGCAGATTCTCCAAAAGGAGTGTTTCAAAACTGCTCCATAAAAAGGAAGGTTCAACTCTGTGAGTTGAATGGACAGATGACAAAGAAGTTTCTGAGAATGCTTCTCTCTAGTGTTTATGTGAAGATATTCCCGTTTCCGATGAAGGCCTCAAAGCAGTCCAAATATCCACTTGCCGATTCTACAAAAACAGTGTTTCAAAACCACTCTATGGAAAGGTATGTTCAACACTGTGAGACGAATGCAAACGTCACCAAGAAGTTGCTGAGAATGCTTCAGTCTAGTTTCTATGGGAAGACATTTCCTTTTGCACCACAGCCCCCAAAGCACTCCAAATGTCTACTTGCAGATTCGATAAAAGAGTTTTACAAAACTGCTCTATCAAAAGAAAGGTTCAACGCTGTGAGTTGAATCCACATATCACGAAAAAGTTTCTGAGAATGCCTCTATCTACTTTTTATGTGAAGATATTCCGGTTTCCAAAGAAGGCCTCAAAGCGCTCCAAATATCTACTTGCAGATTCTACAAAAAGAGAGTTTCAAAACTGCTCTATTAAAGGAAGGTTCAACTCTGTGAGTTGAATTCACACATCACAAAGAACTTTCTGACAATGCTTCTGTCTAGTTTTTATGTGAAGATATTACTGTTTCCTATGAAGGCCTCAAAGTGGTCCGAATATCCACTTGCAGATTCTACAAAAAGAGGTTTGCAAAACTGCTCTATGAAGAGGTATGTTCACCTGTGTGAGTTGAATGCAAACATCACAAAGCAGTTTCTGAGAATGTTTCTGTCTAGTTTTTAGGGGCAGATATTTCCATTGGCACAATAGCCCTCAAAGCGCTCCAAATATCCACTGGCAGATTCGACCAAAAGAGTGTTTCAAAACTTCTCTGTGAAAAGATATGTTCAACTGTGTTAGTTGAATGCCCACATCACAAAGAAGTTTCTGAGAATATCTCTGTCTAGTTTTTATTAGAAGATATTCCCGTTTCCACCAAAGGACACACAGCGAAGCCAACTATCCGCTTGCAGATCTTACAAAAACACGTTTCAAAACTGCTCTATCAAAGGAAAGGTTCATCTCTCTGGGTTCAATGCACACATCACAAAGAAGTTTCTGAGAATGCTTCTGGCTAGTTTGTGTGTGAAGATATTCCCATTTCCAACAAAGGCTTCAAAGCCCTCCAAATACTCACCTGCAATTGTTCAAAAGAGTGTTTCAAAACTGTTCTATCAAAAGGAAGGTTCAACTCTGTGAGTTGAATGCACGCTTCACATAAATGGTTCTGAGAATGCTTCTTTCTAGTTTTTATGGGAAGATATTTCCTTCTCCACCACAGCCCTCAAAGCGCTCCAAGTGTCCGCTGGCAGATTCCACAGAAACAGTGTTTCAAAACTGCTCTGACAAAAGAAAGATTCAACTCCGTGATTTGAATGTACACATCACAAAGCATTTTCTGTGAATCCTTCTGTCTAGTTTTTATATGAGGATATTTCCTTTTCTACCATGGGCATCAAAGCGTTCCAATTATCCAATTGTGGATTGCACAAACAGAGTGTTTCAAAACTGCTTCATGAAAAGGAAGATTCAAATTTGGGAGTAGAATGCACACATCACGAAGAAGTTTACTGAGAATGCTTCTGTCTAGTTTATATGTGAAGATATTCCCATTTCCAGCAAAGGTCTCAAAGCGTTCCAAATATCCCCTTGCGGATCCCACAAACAGAGTGTTTCAAAACTGCTCTACGGAAAGGTAGGTTCAACTCTGTGAGTTTACTGCAAACATCCTAAAGAAGTTTCTGAGAATGCTGCTGTCTACTTTAATGTGAATATATTTTCTTTTCCGCCATAGCCCTCAAAGTGCTCCAAATATCCACTTTCAGATTCTACAGAGTGTTTCAAAACTGCTCTATCAAAAAAAAGTTTCAACTCGGTGAGTCGAATGCGCATATCACAAAGCACTTTCTGAGAATGCTTTCGTCTATTTTTCCCAGGAAGATATTTCCTTTTTGACCGTAGGCCTCAAACCGCTCCAGATATCCACATGCAGATTCTACAAAAAGAGTGTTTCCAAACTGCCCTATCAAAAGGAAGTTTTAACTCTGCTAGTTGAATGCAAACATCACAAAGAAGTTTCTCGGAATGCTTCTGTCTGGTTTTTAGAGGCAGATATTTCTTTTTCTACCATAGGCCTCAAATCGCTCCAAATATCCACTTGCAGATTCTCCAAAAGGAGTGTTTCAAAACTGCTCCATAAAAAGGAAGGTTCAACTCTGTGAGTTGAATGGACAGATGACAAAGAAGTTTCTGAGAATGCTTCTCTCTAGTGTTTATGTGAAGATATTCCCGTTTCCGATGAAGGCCTCAAAGCAGTCCAAATATCCACTTGCCGATTCTACAAAAACAGTGTTTCAAAACTACTCTATGGAAAGGTATGTTCAACACTGTGAGATGAATGCAAACGTCACCAAGAAGTTGCTGAGAAAGCTTCAGTCTAGTTTCTATGGGAAGACATTTCCTTTTGCACCTGAGCCCTCAAAGCACTCCAAATGTCTACTTGCAGATTCGATAAAAGAGTTTTTCAAAACTGCTCTATCAAAAGAAAGGTTCAACGCTGTGAGTTGAATCTACATATGACAAAAAAGTTTCTGAGCATGCCTCTATCTACGTTTTATGTGAAGATATTCCGGATTCCAACGAAGGCCTCAAAGCGCTCCAAATATCTACTTGCAGATTCTAGAAAAAGAGTGTTTCAAAACTGCTCTATTAAAGGAAAGTTCAACTCTGTGAGTTGAATTCACACATCACAAAGAACTTTCTGACAATGCTTCTATCTAGTTTTTATGTGAAGATATTACTGTTTCCTATGAAGGCCTCAAAGTGGTCCGAATATCCACTTACAGATTCTACAGAAAGAGGTTTTCAAAACTGCTCTATGAAGAGGTATGTTCAACTCTGTGAGTTGAATGCAAACATCACGAAGTAGTTTCTGAGAATGCTTCTGTATAGTTTTCAGGGGCAGATACTTCCATTGGCACAATAGCCCTCCAAGCGCTCCAAATATCCACTGGCAGATTCTACCAAAAGAGTGTTTCAAAACTGCTCTGTGAAAAGAAATGTTCAACTGTGTTAGTTGAATGCCCACATCACAAAGGAGATTCTGAGAATATTTCTGTCTAGTTTTTATTAGAAGATATTCGCGTTTCCACCAAAGGACACAAAGCGAAGCCAATTATCCGCTTGCCGATCTTACAAAAACACGTTTCAAAACTGCTCTATCAAAGGAAAGGTTCATCTCTCTGGGTTCAACGCACACATCACAAAGAAGTTTCTGAGAATGCTTCTGGCTAGTTTGTGTGTGAAGATATTCCCATTTCCAACAAAGGCTTCAAAGCGCTCCAAAGATTCACCTGCAATTGTTCAAAAGAGTGTTTCAAAACTGTTGTATCAAAAGGAAGGTTCAACTCTGTGAGTTGAATGCACGCTTCACATAAATGTTTCTGAGTATGCTTCTTTCTAGTTTTTATGGGAAGATATTTCCTTCTCCACCACAGCCCTCAAAGCGCTCCAAGTGTCCGCTGGCAGATTCCACAGAAAGAGTGTTTCAAAACTGCTCTAACAAAAGAAAGATTCAACTCCGTGATTTGAATGCACACATCACAAAGCATTTTCTGTGAATCCTTCTGTCTAGTTTTTATATGAGGATATTACCTTTTCTACAACGGGCATCAAAGCGTTCCAAATATCCAATTGTGGATTGCACAAACAGAGTGTTTCAAAACTGCTTCATGAGAAGGAAGATTCAAATTTGGGAGTAGAATGCACACATCACGAAGAAGTTTCTGAAAATGCTTCTGTCTAGTTTATACGTGAAGATATTCCCATTTCCAGCAAAGGTCTCAAAGCGGTCCAAATATCCACTTGCGGATCCCACAAACAGAGTGTTTCAAAACTGCTCTACGGAAAGGTATGTTCAACTCTGTGAGTTTACTGCAAACATCCTAAAGAAGTTTCTGAGAATGCTGCTGTCTACTTTAATGTGAATATATTTTCTTTTCCGCCATAGCCCTCAAAGAGCTCCAAATATCCACTTTCAGATTCTACAGAGTGTTTCAAAACTGCTGTATCAAAAAAAAGTTTCAACTCGGTGAGTCGAATGCGCATATCACAAAGCAGTTTCTGAGAATGCTTTCGTCTATTTTTCCCAGGAAGATATTTCCTTTTTGACTGTAGGCCTCAAACCGCTCCAGATATCCACATGCAGATTCTACAAAAAGAGTGTTTCCAAACTGCCCTATCAAAAGGAAGGTTCAACTCTGCTAGTTGAATGCAAACATCACAAAGAACTTTTCTCGGAATGCTTCTGTCTAGTTGTCATAGGCAGATATTTCTTTTTCTACCGTAGGCCTCAAAGTGCTCCAAATATCCACTTGCAGATCCTCCGAAAACAGTGTTTCAAAACTGCTCCATAAAAAGGAAGGTTCAACTCTGTGAGTTGAATGGACAGACCACAAAGAAGTTTCTGAGAATGCTTCTGTCTAGTGTTTATGTGAAGATATTCCCGTTTCCGATGAAGGCCTCAAAGCAGTCCAAATATCCACTTGCAGATTCTACAAAAATAGTGCTTCAAAACTACTCTATGGAAAGGTATGTTCAACACTGTGAGATGAAAGCAAACGTCACAAAGAAGTTGCTGAGAATGCTTCAGTCTAGTTTCTATGGGAAGACATTTCCTTTTGCACCACAGCCCCCAAAGCACTCCAAATGTCTACTTGCAGATTCGATAAAGGAGTTTTACAAAACTGCTCTATCAAAAGAAAGGTTCAACGCTGTGAGTTGAATCCACATATCACGAAAAAGTTTCTGAGAATGCCCTATCTACTTTTTATGTGAAGATATTCCGGTTTCCAAAGAAGGCCTCAAAGCGCTCCAAATATCTACTTGCAGATTCTAGAAAAAGAGTGTTTCAAAACTGCTCTATTAAAGGAAGGTTCAACTCTGTGAGTTGAATTCACACATCACAAAGAACTTTCTGACAATGCTTTCTATCTAGTTTTTATGTGAAGATATTACTGTTTCCTATGAAGGCCTCAAAGTGGTCCGAATATCCACTTGCAGATTCTACAGAAAGAGGTTTTCAAAACTGCTCTGTGAAGAGGTATGTTCAACTCTGTGTGTTGAATGCAGACATCACGAAGTAGTTTCTGAGCATGCTTCTGGCTAGTTTGTTTGTGAATATATTCCTATTTCCAACAAAGGCTTCAAAGCGCTCCAAAGATTCACCTGCAATTGTTCAAAAGAGTGTTTCAAAACTGTTCTGTGAAAAGAAATGTTCAACTGTGTTAGTTGAATGCCCACATCACAAAGAAGATTCTGAGAATATTTCTGTCTAATTTTTATTAGAAGATATTCCCGTTCCCACCAAAGGACACAAAGCGAAGCCAATTATCCGCTTGCAGATCTTACAAAAACACGTTTCAAAACTGCTCTATCAAAGGAAAGGTTCATCTCTCTGGGTTCAACGCACGCATCACAAAGAAGTTTCTGAGAATGCTTCTGGTTAGTTTGTGTGTGAAGATATTCCCATTTCCAACAAAGGCTTCAAAGCGCTCCAAAGATTCACCTGCAATTGTTCAAAAGAGTGTTTCAAAACTGTTGTATCCAAAGGAAGGTTCAACTCTGTGAGTTGAATGCACGCTTCACATAAATGTTTCTGAGAATGCTTCTTTCTAGTTTTTATGGGAAGATATTTCCTTCTCCACCACAGCCCTCAAAGCGCTCCAAGTGTCCGCTGGCAGATCCCACAGAAACAGTGTTTCAAAACTGCTCTGACAAAAGAAAGATTCAACTCCGTGATTTGAATGCACACATCACAAAGCATTTTCTGTGAATCCTTCTGTCTAGTTTTTATATGAGGATATTTCCTTTTCTACCACGGGCATCCAAGCGTTCCAATTCTCCAATTGTAGATTGCACAAACAGTGTGTTTCAAAACTGCTCCATGAGAAGGAAGATTCAAATTTGGGAGTACAATGCACACATCACGAAGAAGTTTCTGAGAATGCTTCTGTCTAGTTTATATGTGAAGATATTCCCATTTCCAGCAAAGGTCTCAAAGCGGTCCAAATATCCACTTGCGGATCCCACAAACAGAGTGTTTCAAAACTGCTCTACGGAAAGGTATGTTCAACTCTGTGACTTTACTGCAAACATCCTAAAGAAGTTTCTGAGAATGCTGCTGTCTACTTTAATGTGAATATAGTTTCTTTGCCGCCATAGCCCTCAAAGAGCTCCAAATATCCACTTTCAGATTCTACAGAGTGTTTCAAAACTGCTCTATCAAAAAAAAATTTCAACTCGGTGAGTCGAATGCACATATCACAAAGCACTTTCTGAGAATGCTTTCGTCTATTTTTCCCAGGAAGATATTTCCTTTTTGACCGTAGGCCTCAAACCGCTCCAGATATCCACATGCAGCTTCTACAAAAAGAGTGTTTCCAAACTGCCCTATCAAAAGGAAGGTTCAACTCTGCTAGTTGAATGCAAACATCACAAAGAAGTTTCTCGGAATGCTTCTGTCTAGTTTTTAGAGGCAGATATTTCTTTTTCTACCATAGGCCTCAAAGCGCTCCAAATATCCACTTGCAGATTCTCCAAAAACAGTGTTTCAAAACTGCTCCATAAAAAGGAAGGTTCAACTCTGTGAGTTGAATGGGCAGATCACAAAGAAGTTTCTGAGAATGCTTCTCTCTAGTGTTTATGAGAAGATATTCCCGTTTCCGATGAAGGCCTCAAAGCAGTCCAAATATCCACTTGCCGATTCTACAAAAACAGTGTTTCAAAACCACTCTATGGAAAGGTATGTTCAACACTGTGAGATGAATGCAAACGTCACCAAGAAGTTGCTGAGAATGCTTCAGTCTAGTTTCTATGGGAAGACATTTCCTTTTGCACCACAGCCCTCAAAGCACTCCAAATGTCTACTTGCAGATTCGATAAAAGAGTTTTACAAAACTGCTCTATCAAAAGAAAGGTTCAACGCTGTGAGTTGAATCCACATATCACGAAAAAGTTTCTGAGAATGCCTCTATCTACTTTTCCTGTGAAGATATTCCGGTTTCCAACGAAGGCCTCAAAGCGCTCCAAATATCTACTTGCAGATTCTAGAAAAAGTGTGTTTCAAAACTGCTCTATTAAAGGAAGGTTCAAATCTGTGAGTTGAATTCACACATCACAAAGAACTTTCTGACAATGCTTCTATCTAGTTTTTATGTGAAGATATTACTGTTTCCTATGAAGGCCTCAATGTGGTCCGAATATCCACTTGCAGATTCTACAAAAAGAGGTTTTCAAAACTGCTCTATGAAGAGGTATGTTCAAGTCTGTGAGTTGAATGCAAACATCACGAAGCAGTTTCTGAGAATGCTTCTGTCTAGATTTTAGGGGCAGATATTTCCATTGGCACAACAACCCTCAAAGCGCTCCAAATATCCACTGACAGATTCTACCAAAAGAGTGTCTCAAAACTGCTCTGTGAAAAGAAATGTTCAACTGTGTTAGTTGAATGCCCACATCACAAAGGAGATTGTGAGAATATTTCTGTCTAGTTTTTATTAGAAGATATTCCCGTTTCCACCAAAGGACACAAAGCGAAGCCAACTATCCGCTTGCAGATCTTACAAAAACACGTTTCAAAACTGCTCTATCAAAGGAATGGTTCATCTCTCTGGGTTCAACGCACACATCACAAAGAAGTTTCTGAGAATGCTTCTGGCTAGTTCGTGTGTGAAGATATTCCCGTTTCCAACAAAGGCTTCAAAGCCCTCCAAATATTCACCTGCAATTGTTCAAAAGAGTGTTTCAAAACTGTTCTATCAAAAGGAAGGTTCAACTCTGTGAGTTGAATGCACGCTTCACATAAATGGTTCTGAGAATGCTTCTTTCTAGTTTTTATGTGAAGATATTTCCTTCTCCACCATAGCCCTAAAAGCGCTCCAAGTGTCCGCTGGCAGATTCCACAGAAACAGTGTTTCAAAACTGCTCTAACAAAAGAAAGATTCAACTCCGTGATCTGAATGCACACATCACAAAGCATTTTCTGTGAATCCTTCTGTCTAGTTTTTATATGAGGATATTTCCTTTTCTACCACGGGCATCCAAGCGTTCCAATTCTCCAATTGTAGATTGCACAGAGTGTTTCAAAACTGCTCCATGAGAAGGAAGATTCAAATTTGGGAGTACAATGCACACATCACCAAGAAGTTTCTGAGAATGCTTCTGTCTAGTTTATATGTGAAGATATTCCCATTTCCAGCAAAGGTCTCGGAGCGGTCCAAATATCCACTTGCAGATCCCACAAACAGAGGGTTTCAAAACTGCTTTACGGAAAGGTATGTTCAACTCTGTGAGTTTACTGCAAACATCCTAAAGAAGTCTCTGAGAATGCTGCTGTCTACTTTAATGTGAATATATTTTCTTTTCCGCCTAAGCCCTCAAAGAGCTCCAAATATCCACTTTCAGATTCTGCAGAGTGTTTCAAAACTGCTCTATCAAAAAAAAGTTTCAACTCGGTGAGTCGAATGCACATATCACAAAGCACTTTCTGAGAATGCTTTCGTCTATTTTTCCCAGGAAGATATTTCCTTTTTGACCGTAGGCCTCAAATCGCTCCAGATATCCACATGCAGATTCTACAAAAAGAGTGTTTCCAAACTGCCCTATGAAAAGGAAGGTTCAACTCTGGTAGTTGAATGCAAACATCACAAAGAAGTTTCTCAGAATGCTTCTGTCTGGTTTTTAGAGGCAGATATTTCTTTTTCTACCATAGGCCTCAAAGCGCTCCAAATATCCACTTGCGGATTCTCCAAAAGGAGTGTTTCAAAACTGCTCTATAAAAAGGAAGGTTCAACTCTGTGAGTTGAATGGACAGATGACAAAGAAGTTTCTGAGAATGCTTCTCTCTAGTGTTTATGTGAAGATATTCCCGTTTCCGATGAAGGCCTCAAAGCAGTCCAAATATCCAGTTGCCGATTCTACAAAAACAGTGTTTCAAAACCACTCTATGGAAAGGTATGTTCAACACTGTGAGATGAATGCAAACGTCACCAAGAAGTTGCTGAGAATGCTTCAGTCTACTTTCTATGGGAAGACATTTCCTTTTGCACCAGAGCCGTCAAAGCACTCCAAATGTCTACTTGCAGATTCGATAAAAGAGTTTTTCAAAACTGCTCTATCAAAAGAAAGGTTCAACGCTGTGAGTTGAATCTACATATGACAAAAAAGTTTCTGAGCATGCCTCTATCTACTTTTCCTGTGAAGATACTCCGGTTTCCAACGAAGGCCTCAAAGCGCTCCAAATATCTACTTGCAGATTCCAGAAAAAAAGTGTTTCAAAACTGCTCTATTAAAGGAAGGTTCAACTCTGTGAGTTGAATTCACACATCACAAAGAACTTTCTGACAATGCTTCTATCTAGTTTTTATGTGAAGATATTACTGTTTCCTATGAAGTCCTCAAAGTGGTCCGAATATCCACTTGCAGATTCTACAGAAAGAGGTTTTCAAAACTGCTCTGTGAAGAGGTATGTTCAACTCTGTGTGTTGAATGCAAACATCACGAAGTAGTTTCTGAGAATGCTTCTGTCTAGTTTTCAGGGGCAGATATCTCCACTGGCACAATAGCCCTCCAAGCGCTCCAAATATCCACCGGCAGATTCTACCAAAGAGTGTTTCAAAGCTGCTCTGTGAAAAGAAATGTTCAACTGTGTTAGTTGAATGCCCACATCACAAAGGAGATTCTGAGAATATTTCTGTCTAGTTTTTATTAGAAGATATTCCCGTTTCCACCAAAGGACACAAAGCGAAGCCAATTATCCGCTTGCCGATCTTACAAAAACACGTTTCAAAACTGCTCTATCGAAGGAAAGGTTCATCTCTCTGGGTTCAACGCACACATCACAAAGAAATTTCTGAGAATGCTTCTGGCTAGTTTGTGTGTGAATATATTCCTATTTCCAACAAAGGCTTCAAAGCGTTCCAAAGATTCACCTGCAATTGTTCAAAAGAGTGTTTCAAAACTGTTCTGTGAAAAGAAATGTTCAACTGTGTTAGTTGAATGCCCACATCACAAAGAAGATTCTGAGAATATTTCTTTCTAGTTTTTATGTGAAGATATTTCCTTCTCCACCATAGCCCTCAAAGCGCTCCAAGTGTCCGCTGGCAGATTCCACAGAAACAGTGTTTCAAAACTGCTCTAACAAAAGAAAGATTCAACTCCGTGATTTGAATGCACACATCACAAAGAATTTTCTGTGAATCCTTCTGTCTAGTTTTTATATGAGGATATTTCCTTTTCTACCATGGGCATCAAAGCTTTCCAATTATCCAATTGTGGATTGCACAAACAGAGTGTTTCAAAACTGCTTCATGAAAAGGAAGATTCAAATTTGGGAGTAGAATGCACACATCACGAAGAAGTTTCTGAGAATGCTTCTGTCTAGTTCATATGTGAAGATATTCCCATTTCCAGCAAAGGTCTCAAAGCGGTCCAAATATCCACTTGCGGATCCCGCAAACAGAGTGTTTCAAAACTGCTCTACAGAAAGGTATGTTCAACTCTGTGAGTTTACTGTAAACATCCTAAAGAAGTTTCTGGGAGTGCTGCTGTCTACTTTAATGTGAATATATTTTCTTTTCCGCCATAGCCCTCAAAGAGCTCCAAATATCCACTTTCAGATTCTATAGAGTGTTTCAAAACTGCTCTATCAAAAAAAAGTTTCAACTCGGTGAGTCGAATGCCCATATCACAAAGCAGTTTCTGAGAATGCTTTCGTCTATTTATCCCAGGAAGATATTTCCTTTTTGACCGTAGGCCTCAAACCGCTCCAGATATCCACATGCAGATTCTACAAAAAGAGTGTTTCCAAACTGCCCTATCAAAAGGAAGGTTCAACTCTGCTAGTTGAATGCAAACAACACAGAGAAGTTTACTTGGAATGCTTCTGTCTGGTTTTTAGAGGCAGATATTTCTTTTTCTACCATAGGCCTCAAAGCGCTCCAAATATCCACTTGCAGATTCTCCAAAAGGAGTGTTTCAAAACTGCTCCAGAAAAAGGAAGGTTCAACTCTGTGAGTTGAATGGACAGATGACAAAGAAGTTTCTGAGAATGCTTCTCTCTAGTGTTTATGTGAAGTATATTCCCGTTTCCGATGAAGGCCTCAAAGCAGTCCAAATATCCACTTGCCGATTCTACAAAAACAGTGTTTCAAAACCACTCTATGGAAAGGTATGTTCAACACTGTGAGATGAATGCAAACGTCACCAAGAAGTTGCTGAGAATGCTTCAGTCTAGTTTCTATGTGATGATATTTCCTTTTCGACTACAGCCCTCAAAGAACTCCAAATGTCTACTTGCAGATTCGATAAAAGAGTTCTTCAAAACTGTTCAATCAAAAGAAAGCTTCAACACTGTGAGTTGAATCTACATATAACAAAAAAGTTTCTGAGAATGCCTCTATCTACTATTTATGTGAAGATATTCCAGTTTCCAATGAAGGCCTCAAAGTGCTCCAAATATCTACTTGCAGATTCTACAAAAAGAGTGTTTGAAAACTGCACTATTAAAGGAAGGTTCAACTCTGTGAGTTGAATTCACACATCACAAAGAAGTTTCTGAGAATGCTTCTATCTAGTTTTTATGTGAAGATATTACTATTTACTCTGAAGGCCTCAAAGTGGTCCAAATATCCACTTGCAGATTCTACAAAAAGAGGATTTCAAAACTGCTCTATGAAGAGGGAAGTTCAACTCTGGTAGTTGAATGCAAACATCACAAAGCAGTTTCTGAGAATGCTTCTGTCTAGTTTTCAGGGGCAGAAATTTCCATTGGCACAATAGCCCTCAAATCGCTCCAAATATCCACTGGCAGATTCTACCAAAAGAGTGTTTCAAAACTGCTCTGTGAAAAGAAATGTTCAACTGTGTTAGTTGAATGCCCACATCACAAAGGAGATTCTGAGAATATTTCTGTCTAGTTTTTATTAGAAGATATTCCCGTTTCCACCAAAGGACACAAAGCGAAGCCAATTATCCGCTTGCCGATCTTACAAAAACACGTTTGAAAACTGCTCTATCAAAGGAAAGGTTCATCTC
This sequence comes from Homo sapiens, assembly GCF_000001405.40. Lineage (NCBI taxonomy): Eukaryota > Metazoa > Chordata > Mammalia > Primates > Hominidae > Homo > Homo sapiens. The sequence continues at coordinate 49,832,097 of NC_000005.10, read as the reverse complement.
TCTGGGTTCAACGCACACATCACAAAGAAGTTTCTGAGAATGCTTCTGGCTAGTTTGTGTGTGAAGATATTCCCATTTCCAACAAAGGCTTCAAAGCGCTCCAAAGATTCACATGCAATTGTACAAAAGAGTGTTTCAAAACTGTTGTATCAAAAGGAAGGTTCAACTCTGTGAGTTGAATGCACGCTTCACATAAATGTTTCTGAGAATGCTTCTTTCTAGTTTTTATGGGAAGATATTTCCTTCTCCACCACAGCCCTCAAAGCGCTCCAAGTGTCCGCTGGCAGATTCCACAGAAACAGTGTTTCAAAACTGCTCTAACAAAAGAAAGATTCAACTCCGGTGATTTGAATGCACACATCACAAAGCATTTTCTGTGAATCCTTCTGTCTAGTTTCTATATGAGGATATTTCCTTTTCTACCTTGGGCATCAAAGCGTTCCAATTATCCAATTGTAGATGGCAGAAACAGAGTGTTTCAAAACTGCTTCATGAAAAGGAAGATTCAAATTTGGGAGTAGAATGCACACATCACGAAGAAGTTTCTGAGAATGCTTCTGTCTAGTTTATATGTGAAGTTATTCCCATTTCCAGCAAAGGTCTCAAAGCGGTCCAAATATCCACTTGCGGATCCCACAAACAGAGTGTTTCAAAACTGCTCTACGGAAAGGTATGTTCAACTCTGTGAGTTTACTGCAAACATCCTAAAGAAGTTTCTGAGAATGCTGCTGTCTACTTTTTTAATGTGAATATATTTTCTTTTCCGCCATAGCCCTCAAAGAGCTCCAAATATCCACTTTCAGATTCTACAGAGTGTTTCAAAACTGCTCTATCAAAAAAAAGTTTCAGCTCGGTGAGTCGAATGCACATATCACAAAGCACTTTCTGAGAATGCTTTCGTCTATTTTTCCCAGGAAGATATTTCCTTTTTGAACGTAGGCCTCAAACCGCTCCAGATATCCACATGCAGATTCTACAAAAAGAGTGTTTCCAAACTGCCCTATCAAAAGGAAGGTTCAACTCTGCTAGTTGAATGCAAACATCACAAAGAAGTTTCTCGGAATGCTTCTGTCTAGCTGTCATAGGCAGATATTTCTTTTTCTACCATAGGCCTCAAAGCACTCCAAATATCCACTTGCAGATTCTCCAAAAACAGGGTTTCAAAACTGCTCCATAAAAAGGAAGGTTCAACTCTGTGAGTTGAATGGACAGACCACAAAGAAGTTTCTGAGAATGCTTCTGTCTAGTGTTTATGTGAAGATATTCCCGTTTCCGATGAAGGCCTGAAAGCAGTCCAAATATCCACTTGCAGATTCTACAAAAATAGTGCTTCAAAACTACTCTATGGAAAGGTATGTTCAACACTGTGAGATGAATGCAAACGTCACAAAGAAGTTGCTGAGAATGCTTCAGTCTAGTTTCTATGGGAAGACATTTCCTTTTGCACCACAGCCCTCAAAGCACCCCGAATGTCTACCTGCAGATTCGATAAAAGGGTTTTTCAAAACTGCTCCATCCAAAGAAAGGTTCAACGCTGTGAGTTGAATCTACATATCACAAAAAAAGTTTCTGAGAATGCCTCTATCTACGTTTTATGTGAAGATATTCCGGTTTCCAACGAAGGCCTCAAAGCGCTCCAAATATCTACTGGCAGATTCTAGAAAAAGAGTGTTTCAAAACTGCTCTATTAAAGGAAGGTTCAACTCTGTGAGTTGAATTCACACATCACAAAGAACTTTCTGACAATGCTTCCATCTAGTTTTTATGTGAAGATATTACTGTATCTATGAAGGCCTCAAAGTGGTCCAAATATCCACTTGCAGATTCTACAAAAAGAGGTTTTCAAAACTGCTCTATGAAGAGGTATGTTCAACTCTGTGAGTTGAATGCAAACATCACAAAGCAGTTTCTGAGAATGCTTCTGTCTAGTTTTTAGGGGCAGATATTTCCATTGGCACAATAGCCCTCAAAGCGCTCCAAATATCCACTGGCAGATTCGACCAAAAGAGTGTTTCAAAACTGCTCTGTGAAAAGCAATGTTCAACTGTGTTAGTTGAATGCCCACATCACAAAGAAGTTTCTGAGAATATCTCTGTCTAGTTTTTATTAGAAGATATTCCCGTTTCCACCAAAGGACACAAAGCGAAGCCAATTATCCGCTTGCAGATCTTACAAAAACACGTTTCAAAACTGCTCTATCATAGGAAAGGTTCATCTCTCTGGGTTCAACGCACACATCACGAGAAGTTTCTGAGAATGCTTCTGGCTAGTTTGTGTGTGAAGATATTCCCATTTCCAACAAAGGCTTCAAAGCGCTCCAAAGATTCACCTGCAATTGTTCAAAAGGGTGTTTCAAAACTGTTGTATCAAAGGGAAGGTTCAACTCTGTGAGTTGAATGCAAGCTTCACATAAATGTTTCTGAGAATGCTTCTTTCTAGTTTTTATGTGAAGATATTTCCTTCTCCACCATAGCCCTCAAAGCACTCCAAGTGTCTGCTGACAGATTCCACAGAAACAGTGTTTCAAAACTGCTCTAACAAAAGAAAGATTCAACTCCGTGATCTGAATGCACACATCACAAAGCATTTTCTGTGAATCCTTCTGTCTAGTTTTTATATGAGGATATTTCCTTTTCTACCACGGGCATCCAAGCGTTCCAATTCTCCAATTGTAGATTGCACAAACAGAGTGTTTCAAAACTGCTCCTTGGGAAGGAAGATTCAAATTTGGGAGTACAATGCACAAATCACGAAGAAGTTTCTGAGAATGCTTCTGTCTAGTTTATGTGTGAAGATATTCCCGTTTCCAGCAAAGGTCTCAAAGGGGTCCAAATATCCACTTGCGGATCCCACAAACAGAGTGTTTCAAAACTGCTCTACGGAAAGGTATGTTCAACTCTGTGAGTTTACTGCAAACATCCTAAAGAAGTTTCTGGGAATGCTGCTGTCTAGTTTAATGTGAATATCTTTTCTTTTCCGCCATAGCCCTCAAAGAGCTCCAAATATCCACTTTCAGATTCTACAGAGTGTTTCAAAAGTGCTCTATCCAAAAAAAGTTTCAACTCGGTGAGTCGAATGCACATATCACAAAGCAGTTTCTGAGAATGCTTCCATCTAGTTTTTATGTGAAGATATTACTGTTTTCTATGAAGGCCTCAAAGTGGTCCAAATATCCACTTGCAGATTCTACAAAAAGAGGTTTTCAAAACTGCTCTATGAAGAGGTATGTTCAACTCTGTGAGTTGAATGCAAACATCACAAAGAAGTTTCTGAGAATGCCTCTGTCTAGTTGTTATAGGCAGATATTTCTTTTTCTACCATAGGCCACAAAGCGCTCCAAATATCTACTTGAAGATTCTCCAAAAACAGTGTTTCAAAACTGCTCCATAAAAAGGAAGGTTCAACTCTGTGAGTTGAATGGACAGATCACAAAGAAGTTTCTGAGAATGCTTCTGTCTAGTGTTTATGTGAAGATATTCCCGTTTCCGATGAAGGCCTCAAAGCAGTCCAAATATCCACTTGGAGATTCTACAAAAATAGTGCTTCAAAACTACTGTATGGAAAGGTATGTTCAACACTGTGAGATGAATGCAAACGTCACAAAGAAGTTGCTGAGAATGCTTCAGTCTAGTTTCTATGGGAAGACATTTCCTTTTGCACCACAGCCCTCAAAGCACTCTAAATGTCTACTTGCAGATTCGATAAAAGAGTTTTACAAAACTGCTCTATCAAAAGAAAGGTTCAACGCTGTGAGTTGAATCCACATATCACGAAAAAGTTTCTGAGAATGCCTCTATCTACGTTTTATGTGAAGATATTCCGGTTTCCAACGAAGGCCTCAAAGCGCTCCAAATATCTACTGGCAGATTCTAGAAAAAGAGTGTTTCAAAACTGCTCTATTAAAGGAAGGTTCAATTCTGTGAGTTGAATTCACACATCACAAAGAACTTTCTGACAATGCTTCTATCTAGTTTTTATGTGAAGATATTACTGTTTCCTAAGAAGGCCTCAAAGTGGTCCAAATATCCACTTGCAGATTCTACAGAAAGAGGTTTTCAAAACTGCTCTGTGAAGAGGTATGTTCAACTCTGTGTGTTGAATGCAAACATCACGAAGTAGTTTCTGAGAATGCTTCTGTCTAGTTTTTAGGGGCAGATATTTCCATTGGCACAATAGCCCTCAAAGCGCTCCAAATATCCACTGGCAGATTCGACCAAAAGAGTGTTTCAAAACTGCTCTGTGAAAAGAAATGTTCAACTGTGTTAGTTGAATGCCCACATCACAAAGAAGTTTCTGAGAATATCTCTGTCTAGTTTTTATTAGAAGATATTCCCGTTTCCACCAAAGGACACAATGCGAAGCCAATTATCCGCTTGCAGATCTTACAAAAACACGTTTCAAAACTGCTCTATCAAAGGAAAGGTTCATCTCTCTGGGTTCAACGCACACATCACAAAGAAGTTTCTGAGAATGCTTCTGGCTAGTTCGTGTGTGAAGAATATTCCCGTTTCCAACAAAGGCTTCAAAGCCCTCCAAATATTCACCTGCAATTGTTCAAAAGAGTGTTTCAAAACTGTTCTATCAAAAGGAAGGTTCAACTCTGTGAGTTGAATGCACGCTTCACATAAATGGTTCTGAGAATGCTTCTTTCTAGTTTTTATGGGAAGATATTTCCTTCTCCACCATAGACCTCAAAGCGCTCCAAGTGTCCGCTGGCAGATTCCACAGAAACTGTGTTTCAAAACTGCTCTAACAAAAGAAAGATTCAACTCCGTGATTCGAATGCACACATCACAAAGCATTTTCTGTGAATCCTTCTGTCTAATTTTTATATGAGGATATTTCCTTTTCTACCATGGGCATCAAAGCGTTCCAATTATCCACTTGTGGATTGCACAAACAGAGTGTTTCAAAACTGCTTCATGAAAAGGAAGATTCAAATTCGGGAGTAGAATGCACACATCACGAAGAAGTTTCTGAGAATGCTTCTGTCTAGTTGATATGTGAAGATATTCCCGTTTCCAGCAAAGGTCTCAAAGCGGTCCAAATATCCACTTGCGGATCCCACAAACAGAGTGTTTCAAAACTGCTCTACGGAAAGGTATGTTCAACTCTGTGAGTTTACTGCAAACATCCTAAAGAAGTTTCTGGGAATGCTGCTGTCTACTTTAATGTGAATATATTTTCTTTTCCGCCATAGCCCTCAAAGAGATCCAAATATCCACTTTCAGATTCTACAGAGTGTTTCAAAACTGCTCTATCAAAAAAAAGTTTCAACTCGGTGACTGGAATGCACATATCACAAAGCAGTTTCTGAGAATGCTTTCGTCTATTTTTCCCAGGAAGATATTGCCTTTTTGACCGTAGGCCTCAAACCGCTCCAGATATCCACATGCAGATTCTACAAAAGAGTGTTTCCAAACTGCCCTATCAAAAGGAAGGTTCAACTCTGCTAGTTGAATGCAAACATCACAGAGAAGTTTCTCGGAATGCTTCTGTCTGGTTTTTAGAGGCAGATATTTCTTTTTCTACCATAGGCCTCAAAGCGCTCCAAATATCCACTTGCAGATTCTCCAAAAAGAGTGTTTCAAAACTGCTCCATAAAAAGGAAGGTTCAACTCTGTGAGTTGAATGGACAGATCACAAAGAAGTTTCTGAGAATGCTTCTCTCTAGTGTTTATGTGAAGATATTCCCATTTCCGATGAAGGCCTCAAAGCAGTCCAAATATCCACTTGCCGATTCTACAGAAACAGTGTTTCAAAACCACTCTATGGAAAGGTATGTTCAACACTGTGAGATGAATGCAAACGTCACCAAGAAGTTGCTGAGAATGCTTCAGTCTAGTTCCTATGGGAAGACATTTCCTTTTGCACCACAACCCTCAAAGCACTCCAAATGTCTACTTGCAGATTCGATAAAAGAGTTTTACAAAACTGCTCTATCAAAAGAAAGGTTCAACGCTGTGAGTTGAATCCACATATCACGAAAAAGTTTCTGAGAATGCCTCTATCTGCTTTTTATGTGAGGATATTCCGGTTTCCAACGAAGGCCTCAAAGCGCTCCAAATATCTACTTGCAGATTCTAGAAAAAGAGTGTTTCAAAACTGCTCTATTAAAGGAAGGTTCAACTCTGTGATTTGAATTCACACATCACAAAGAACTTTCTGACTATGCTTCTATCTAGTTTTTATGTGAAGGTATTACTGTTTCCTATGAAGGCCTCAAAGTGGTCCGAATATCCACTTGCAGATTCTACAAAAAGAGGTTTTCAAAACTGCTCTATGAAGAGGTATGTTCAACTCTGTGAGTTGAATGCAAACATCACAAAGTAGTTTCAGAGAATGCTTCTGTCTAGTTTTTAGGGGCAGATATTTCCGTTGGCACAATAGCCCTCAAAGCGCTCCAAATATCCACTGGCAGATTCTACCAAAAGGTTGTTTCAAAACTGCTCTGTGAAAAGAAAGGTTCAACTGTGTTAGTTGAATGCCCACATCACAAAGAAGATTCTGAGAATATTTCTGTCTAGTTTTTATTAGAAGATATTCCCGTTTCCACCAAAGGACACAAAGCGAAGCCAATTATCCGCTTGCCGATCTTACAAAAACACGCTTCAAAACTGCTCTATCAAAGGAAAGGTTCATCTCTCTGGGTTCAACGCACACATCACAAAGAATTTTCTGAGAATGCTTCTGGCTAGTTTGTGTGTGAAGATATTCCCATTTCCAACAAAGGCTTCAAAGCGCTCCAAAGATTCACCTGCAATTGTTCCAAAGAGTGTTTCAAAACTGTTGTATCAAAAGGAAGGTTCAACTCTGTGAGTTGAATGCACGCTTCACATAAATGTTTCTGAGAATGCTTCTTTCTAGTTTTTATGGGAAGATATTCCCTTCTCCACCACAGCCCTCAAAGCGCTCCAAGTGTCCGCGGGCAGATTCCACAGAAACAGTGTTTCAAAACTGCTCTAACAAAATAAGATTCAACACCGTGATTTGAATGCACACATCACAAAGCATTTTCTGTGAATCCTTCTGTCTAGTTTTTATATGAGGATATTTCCTTTTCTACCATGGGCATCAAAGCGTTCCAATTATCCAATTGTAGATTGCACAAACAGAGTGTTTCAAAACTGCTTCATGAGAAGGAAGATTCAAATTTGGGAGTAGAATGCACACATCACGAAGAAGTTTCTGAGAATGCTTCTGTGTAGTTTATATGTGAAGATATTCCCATTTCCAGCAAAGGTCTCAAAGCGGCCCAAATATCCACTTGCGGATCCCACAAACAGAGTGTTTCAAAACTGCTCTTTGGAAAGGTATGTTCAACTCTGTGAGTTTACTGCAAACATCCTAAAGAAGTTTCTGAGAATGCTGCTGTCTACTTTAATGTGAATATATTTTCTTTTCTGCCATAGCCCTCAAAGAGCTCCAAATATCCACTTTCAGATTCTACAGAGTGTTTCAAAACTGCTCTATCAAAAAAAAGTTTCAACTCGGTGAGTCGAATGCACATATCACAAAGCACTTTCTGAGAATGCTTTCGTCTATTTTTCCCAGGAAGATATTTCCTTTTTGACCGTAGGCCTCAAACCGCTCCAGATATCCACATGCAGATTCTACAAAAAGAGTGTTTCCAAACTGCCCTATCAAAAGGAAGGTTCAACTCTGCTAGTTGAATGCAAACATCACAAAGAAGTTTCTCAGAATGCTTCTGTCTAGTTGTCATAGGCAGATATTTCTTTTTCTACCATAGGCCTCAAAGCGCTCCAAATATCCACTTGCAGATTCTCCAAAAACAGGGTTTCAAAACTGCTCCATAAAAAGGAAGGTTCAACACTGTGAGTTGAATGGACAGACCACAAAGAAGTTTCTGAGAATGCTTCTCTCTAGTGTTTATGTGAAGATATTCCCGTTTCCGATGAAGGCCTCAAAGCAGTCCAAATATCCACTTGCAGATTCTACAAAAACAGTGTTTCAAAAGTACTCGATGGAAAGGTATGTTCAACACTGTGAGATGAATGCAAACGTCACAAAGAAGTTGCTGAGAATGCTTCAGTCTAGTTTCTATTGGAAGACATTTCCTTTTGCACCACAGCCCTCAAAGCACCCCAAATGTCTACCTGCAGATTCGATAAAAGAGTTTTTCAAAACTGCTCCATCCAAAGAAAGGTTCAACGCTGTGAGTTGAATCTACATATCACAAAAAAGTTTCGTGAGAATGCCTCTATCTACTTTTCCTGTGAAGATATTCCGGTTTCCATCGAAGGCCTCAAAGCGCTCCAAATATCTACTTGCAGATTCTAGAAAAAGAGTGTTTCAAAACTGCTCTATTAAAGGAAGGTTCAACTCTGTGAGTTGAATTCACACATCACAAAGAACTTTCTGACAATGCTTCTATGTAGTTTTTATGTGAAGATATTACTGTTTCCTATGAAGGCCTCAAAGTGGTCCGAATATCCACTTGCAGATTCTACAGAAAGAGGTTTTCAAAACTGCTCTGTGAAGAGGTATGTTCAACTCTGTGTGTTGAATGCAAACATCACGAAGTAGTTTCTGAGAATGCTTCTGTCTAGTTTTTAGGGGCAGATATTTCCATTGGCACAATAGTCTTCAAAGCGCTCCAAATATCCACTGGCAGATTCTACCAAAAGAGTGTTTCAAAACTGCTCTGTGAAAAGAAATGTTCAACTGTGTTAGTTGAATGCCCACATCACAAAGAAGATTCTGAGAATATTTCTGTCTAGTTTTTATTAGAAGATATTCCCGTTTCCACCAAAGGACACAAAGCGAAGCCAATTATCCGCTTGCAGATCTTACAAAAACACGTTTCAAAACTGCTCTATCCAAGGAAAGGTTCATCTCTGCTGGGTTCAACGCACACATCACAAAGAAGTTTCTGAGAATGCTTCTGGCTAGTTTGTGTGTGAAGATATTCCCATTTCCAACAAAGGCTTCAAAGCGCTCCAAAGATTCACCTGCAATTGTTCAAAAGAGTGTTTCAAAACTGTTCTATCAAAAGGAAGGTTCAACTCTGTGAGTTGAATGCATGCTTCACATAAATGTTTCTGAGAATGCTTCTTTCTAGTTTTTATGGGAAGATATTTCCTTCTCCACCATAGCCCTCAAAGCGCTCCAAGTGTTCGCTGGCAGATTCCACAGAAACAGTGTTTCAAAACTGCTCTGACAAAAGAAAGATTCAACTCCATGATTTGAATGCACACATCACAAAGCATTTTCTGTGAATCCTTCTGTCTAGTTTTTATATGAGGATATTTCCTTTTCTACCATGGGCATCAAAGCGTTCCAATTATCCAATTGTGGATTGCACAAACAGAGTGTTTCAAAACTGCTTCATGAAAAGGAAGATTCAAATTTGGGAGGAGAATGCACACATCACGAAGAAGTTTCTGAGAATGCTTCTGTCTAGTTTATATGTGAAGATATTCCCATTTCCAGCAAAGGTCTCAAAGCGGTCCAAATATCCCCTTGCGGATCCCACAAACAGAGTGTTTCAAAACTGCTCTACGGAAAGGTATGTTCAACTCTGTGAGTTTACTGCAAACATCCTAAAGAAGTTACTGAGAATGCTTCTGTCTAGTTTAATGTGAATATATTTTCTTTTCCACCATAGCCCTCAAAGAGCTCCAAATATCCACTTTCAGATTCTACAGAGTGTTTCAAAACTGCTCTATCAAAAAAAAGGTTCAACTCTGTGAGTTGAATGCACATAACACAAAGTAGTTTCTGAGAATGATTTCGTCTATTTTTCCCAGGAAGATATTTCCTTTTTGACCGTAGGCCTCAAACCGCTCCAGATATCCACATGCAGATTCTACAAAAAGAGTGTTTCCAAACTGCCCTATCAAAAGGAAGGTTCAACTCTGCTAGTTCAATGCAAACATCACAGAGAAGTTTCTCGGAATGCTTCTGTCTGGTTTTTAGAGGCAGATATTTCTTTTTCTACCATAGGCCTCAAAGCGCTCGAAATATCCACTTGCAGATTCTCCAAAAACAGTGATTCAAAACTGCTCCATAAAAAGGAAGGTTCAACTCTGTGAGTTGAATGGACAGATCACAAAGAAGTTTCTGAGAATGCTTCTGTCTAGTGTTTATGTGAAGATATTCCCGTTTCCGATGAAGGCCTCAAAGCAGTCCAAATATCCACTTGCAGATTCTACAAAAACAGTGTTTCAAAACTACTCTATGCAAAGGTATGTTCAACCCTGTGAGATGAATGCAAACGTCACAAAGAAGTTGCTGAGAATGCTTCAGTCTAGTTTCTATGGGAAGACATTTCCTTTTGCACCACAGCCCTCAAAGCACTCCAAATGTCTACTTGCAGATTCGATAAAAGAGTTTTTCAAAACTGCTCTATCAAAAGAAAGGTTCAACGCTGTGAGTTGAATCTACATATCACAAAAAAGTTTCTGAGAATGCCTCTATCTACTTTTCCTGTGAAGATATTCCGGTTTCCAACGAAGGCCTCAAAGCGCTCCAAGTATCTACTTGCAGATTCTAGAAAAAGAGTGTTTCAAAACTGCTCTATTAAAGGAAGGTTCAACTCTGTGAGTTGAATTCACACATCACCAAGAACTTTCTGACAATGCTTCTATCTAGTTTTTATGTGAAGATATTACTGTTTCCTATGAAGGCCTCAAAGTGGTCCGAATATCCACTTTCAGATTCTACAAAAAAGGTTTTCAAAACGGCTCTATGAAGAGGTATGTTCAACTCTGTGAGTCGAATGCAAACATCAGAATGTAGTTTCTGAGAATGCTTCTGTCTAATTTTCAGGGGCAGATATTTCCATTGGCACAGTAGCCCTCCAAGTGCTCCAAATATCCACTGGCAGATTCTACCAAAACTGTGTTTCAAAACTGCTCTGTGAAAAGAAATGTTCAATTGTGTTAGTTGAATGCCCACATCACAAAGGAGATTCTGAGAATATTTCTGTCTAGCTTTTATTAGAAGATATTCCTGTTTCCACCAAAGGACACAAAGCGAAGCCAATTATCCGCTTGCAGATCTTACAAAAACACGTTTCAAAACTGCTCTATCCAAGGAAAGGTTCATCTCTCTGGGTTCAACGCACACATCACAAAGAAGTTTCTGAGAATGCTTCTGGCTAGTTTGTGTGTGAAGATATTCCCATTTCCAACAAAGGCTTCAAAGCGCTCCAAAGATTCACCTGTAATTGTTCAAAAGAGTGTTTCAAAACTGTTCTATCAAAACGAAGGTTCAACTCTGTGAGTTGAATGCACGCTTCACATAAATGTTTCTGAGAATGCTTCTTTCTAGTTTTTATGTGAAGATATTTCCTTCTCCACCATAGCCCTCAAAGCGCTCCAAGTGTCCGCTGGCAGATTCCACAGAAACGGTGTTTCAAAACTGCTCTAACAAAAGAAAGATTCAACTCCGTGATCTGAATGCACACATCACAAAGCATTTTCTGTGAATCCTTCTGTCTAATTTTTATATGAGGATATTTCCTTTTCTACCATGGGCATCAAAGCGTTCCAATTATCCAATTGTGGATTGCACAAACAGAGTGTTTCAAAACTGCTTCATGAAAAGGAAGATTCAAATTCGGGAGGAGAATGCACACATCACGAAGAAGTTTCTGAGAATGCTTCTGTCTAGTTTATATGTGAAGATATTCCCATTTCCAGCAAAGGTCTCAAAGCGGTCCAAATATCCACTTGCGGATCCCACAAACAGAGTGTTTCAAAACTGCTCTAAGGAAAGGTATGTTCAACTCTGTGAGTTTACTGCAAACATCCTAAAGAGGTTTCTGAGAATGCTGCTGTCTAGCTTAATGTGAATATCTTTTCTTTTCCGCCATAGCCCTCAAAGAGCTCCAAATATCCACTTTCAGATTCTACAGGGTGTTTCAAAACTGCTCTATCAAAAAAAAGTTTCAACTCGGTGAGTCGAATGCACATATCACGAAGCAGTTTCTGAGAATGCTTTCGTCTATTTTTCCCAGGCAAGATATTTCCTTTTTGACCATAGGCCTCAAATCGCTCCAGATATCCACATGCAGATTCTACAAAAAGAGTGTTTCCAAACTGCCCTATCAAAAGGAAGATTCAACTCTGGTAGTTGAATGCAAACATCACAAAGAAGTTTCTCAGAATGCTTCTGTCTAGTTTTTAGAGGCAGATATTTCTTTTTCTACCATAAGCCTCAAAGCGCTCCAAATATCCACTTGCAGATTCTCCAAAAACAGTGTTTCAAAACTGCTCCATAAAAAGGAAGGTTCAACTCTGTGAGTTGAATGGACAGATCACAAAGTAGTTTCTGAGAATGCTTCTGCCTAGTGTTTATGTGAAGATATTCCCGTCTCCGATGAAGGCCTCAAAGCAGTCCAAATATCCACTTGCAGATTCTACAAAAATAGTGTCTCAAAACTACTCTATGGAAAGGTATGTTCAACACTGTGAGATGAATGCAAACGTCACAAAGAAGTTGCTGAGAATGCTTTCAGTCTAGTTTCTATGGGAAGACATTTCCTTTTGCACCACAGCCCTCAAAGCACCCCAAATGTCTACCTGCAGATTCGATAAAAGGGTTTTTCAAAACTGCTCCATCCAAAGAAAGGTTCAATGCTGTGAGTTGAATCTACATATCACAAAAAACTTTCTGAGAATGCCTCTATCTAGTTTTTATGTGAAGATATTACTGTTTCCTATGAAGGCCTCAAAGTGGTCCGAATATCCACTTGCAGATTCTACAGAAAGAGGTTTTCAAAACTGCTCTGTGAAGAGGTATGTTCAACTCTGTGTGTTGAATGCAGACATGACGAAGTAGTTTCTGAGAATGCTTCTGTCTAGTTTTCAGGGGCAGATATTTCCATTGGCACAATAGCCCTCCAAGCGCTCCAAATATCCACTGGCAGATTCTACCAAAAGAGTGTTTCAAAACTGCTCTGTGAAAAGAAATGTTCAACTGTGTTAGTTGAATGCCCACATCACAAAGGAGATACTGAGAATATTTTCTGTCTAGTTTTTATTAGAAGATATTCCCGTTTCCACCAAAGGACACAAAGCGAAGCCCATTATCCCCTTGCAGATCTTACAAAAACACGTTTCAAAACTGCTCTATCAAAGGAAAGGTTCATCTCTCTGGGTTCAACGCACACATCACAAAGAAGTTTCTGAGAATGCTTCTGGCTAGTTTGTGTGTGAAGATATTCCCATTTCCAACAAAGGCTTCAAAGCGCTCCAAAGATTCACCTGCAATTGTTCAAAAGAGTGTTTCAAAACTGTTGTATCAAAAGGAAGGTTCAACTCTGTGAGTTGAATGCACGCTTCACATACATGTTTCTGAGAATGCTTCTTTCTAGTTTTTATGTGAAGACATTTCCTTCTCCACCATAGCCCTCAAAGCGCTCCAAGTGTCCGCTGGCAGATTCCACAGAAACAGTGTTTCAAAACTGCTCTAACAAAACAAAGATTCACCTCCGTGATTTGAATGCACACATCACAAAGCATTTTCTGTGAATCCTTCTGTCTAGTTTTTATATGAGGATATTTCCTTTTCTACCATGGGCATCAAAGCGTTCCAATTATCCAATTGTGGATTGCACAAACAGAGTGTTTCAAAACTGCTTCAGGAAAAGGAAGATTCAAATTCGGGAGGAGAATGCACACATCACGAAGAAGTTTCTGAGAATGCTTCTGTCTAGTTTATATGTGAAGATTTTCCCATTTCCAGCAAAGGTCTCAAAGCTGTCCAAATATCCACTTGCGGATCCCACAAACAGAGTGTTTCAAAACTGCTCTACGGAAAGGTATGTTCAATTCCTTGAGTTTACTGCAAACATCCTAAAGAAGTTTCTGAGAATGCTGCTGTCAACTTTAATGTGAATATATTTTCTTTTCCGCCATAGCCCTCAAAGAGCTCCAAATATCCACTTTCAGATTCTACAGAGTGTTACAAAACTGCTGTATCAAAAAAAAGTTTCAACTCGGTGAGTCGAATGCGCATATCACAAAGCCCTTTCTGAGAATGCTTTCGTCTATTTTTCCCAGGAAGATATTTCCTTTTTGACCGTAGGCCTCAAACCGCTCCAGATATCCACATGCAGATTCTACAAAAAGAGTGTTTCCAAACTGCCCTATCAAAAGGAAGGTTCAACTCTGCTACTTGAATGCAAACATCACAGAGAAGTTTCTCGGAATGCTTCTGTCTGGTTTTTAGAAGCAGATATTTCTTTTTCTACCATAGGCCTCAAAGCGCTCCAAATATCCACTTGCAGATTCTCCAAAAGGAGTGTTTCAAATCTGCTCCATAAAAAGGAAGGTTCAACTCTGTGAGTTGAATGGACAGATGACAAAGAAGTTTCTGAGAATGCTTCTCTCTAGTGTTTATGTGAAGATATTCCCGTTTCCGATGAAGGCCTCAAAGCAGTCCAAATATCCACTTGCCGATACTACAAAAACAGTGTTTCAAAACCACTCTATGGAGAGGTATGTTCAACACTGTGAGATGAATGCAAACGTCACCAAGAAGTTGCTGAGAATGCTTCAGTCTAGTTTCTATGGGAAGACTTTTCCTTTTGCACCAGAGCCCTCAAAGCACCCCAAATGTCTACCTGCAGATTCGATAAAAGAGTTTTTCAAAACTGCTCCATCCAAAGAAAGGTTCAACACTGTGAGTTGAATCTACATATCACAAAAAAGTTTCTGAGAATGCCTCTATCTAATTTTCCTGTGAAGATATTCCGGTTTCCAACGAAGGCCTCAAAGCGCTCCAAATATCTACTTGCAGATTCTAGAAAAAGAGTGTTTCACAACTGCTCTATTAAAGGAAGGTTCAACTCTGTGAGTTGAATTCACACATCACAAAGTACTTTCTGACAATGCTTCTATCTAGTTTTTATGTGAAGATATTACTGTTTCCTATGATGACCTCAAAGTGGTCCGAATATCCACTTGCAGATTCTACAGAAAGAGGTTTTCAAAACTGCTCTGTGAAGAGGTATGTTCAACTCTGTGTGTTGAATGCAAACATCACGAAGTAGTTTCTGAGAATGCTTCTGTCTAGATTTTAGGGGCAGATATTTCCATTGGCACAACAGCCCTCAAAGCGCTCCAAATATCCACTGGCAGATTCTACCAAAAGAGTGTCTCAAAACTGCTCTGTGAAAAGAAATGTTCAACTGTGTTAGTTAAATGCCCACATCACAAAGGAGATTCTGAGAATATTTCTGTCTAGTTTTTATTAGAAGATATTCCCGTTTCCACCAAAGGACACAAAGCGAAGCCAATTATCCGCTTGCAGATCTTAAAAAAACACGTTTCAAAACTGCTCTATCAAAGGAAACGTTCATCTCTCTGGGTTCAACGCACACATCACAAAGAAGTTTCTCAGAATGCTTCTGGCTAGTTTGTGTGTGAAGATATTCCCATTTCCAACAAAGGCTTCAAAGCGCTCCAAAGATTCACCTGCAATTGTTCAAAAGAGTGTTTCAAAACTGTTCTATCAAAAGGAAGGTTCAACTCTGTGAGTTGAATACACGCTTCACATAAATGTTTCTGAGAATGCTTCTTTTTAGTTTTTATGGAAAGATATTTCCTTCTCCACCATGGCCCTCAAAGCGCTCCAAGTGTCCGCTGGCAGATTCCACAGAAACAGTGTTTCAAAACGGCTCTAACAAAAGAAAGATTCAACCCCGTGATTTGAATGCACACATCACAAAGCATTTTCTGTGAATCCTTCTGTCAAGTTTTTATATGAGGATATTTCCTTTTCTACCTTGGGCATCAAAGCGTTCCAATTATCCAATTGTAGATTGCAGAAATAGAGTGTTTCAAAACTGCTTCATGAAAAGGAAGATTCAAATTTGGGAGTAGAATGCACACATCACGAAGAAGTTTTTGAGAATGCTTCTGTCTAGTTTATATGTGAAGATATTCCCATTTCCAGCAAAGGTCTCAAAGCGGTCCAAATATCCACTTGCGGATCCCACAAACAGAGTGTTTCAAAACTGCTCTTCGGAAAGGTATGTTCAACTCTGTGAGTTTACTGCAAACATCCTAAAGAAGTTTCTGAGAATGCTGCTGTCTACTTTAATGTGAATATATTTTCTTTTCCGTCATAGCCCTCAAAGAGTTCCAAATATCCACTTTCAGGTTCTACAGAGTGTTTCAAAACTGCTGTATCAAAAAAAAGTTTCAACTCGGTGAGTCGAATGCGCATATCACAAAGCCCTTTCTGAGAATGCTTTCGTCTATTTTTCCCAGGAAGATATTTCCTTTTTGACCGTAGGCCTCAAACCGCTCAAGATATCCACATGCAGATTCTACAAAAAGAGTGTTTCCAAACTGCCCTATCAAAAGGAAGGTTCACCTCTGCTAGTTGAATGCAAACATCACAAAGAAGTTTCTCGGAATGCTTCTGTCTGGTTTTCAGAGGCAGATATTCCTTTTTCTACCATAGGCCTCAAAGCGCTCCAAATATCCACTTGCAGATTCTCCAAAAGGAGTGTTTCAAAACTGCTCCATAAAAAGGAAGGTTCAACTCTGTGAGTTGAATGGACAGATGACAAAGAAGTTTCTGAGAATGCTTCTCTCTAGTGTTTATGTGAAGATATTCCCGTTTCCGATGAAGGCCTCAAAGCAGTCCAAATATCCACTGGCCGATTCTACAAAAACAGTGTTTCAAAACTACTCTATGGAAAGGTATGTTCAACACTGTGAGATGAATGCAAACGTCACAAAGAAGTTGCTGAGAATGCTTCAGTCTAGTTTCTATGGGAAGACATTTCCCTTTGCGCCACAGCCCTCAAAGCACCCCAAATGTCTACCTGCAGATTCGATAAAAGAGTTTTTCAAAACTGCTCCATCCAAAGAAAGGTTCAACGCTGTGAGTTGAATCTACATATCACAAAAAAGTTTCTGAGAATGCCTCTATCTACTTTTTATGTGAAGATATTCCGGTTTCCAACGAAGGCCTCAAAGCTCTCCAAATATCTACTTGCAGATTCTAGAAAAAGAGTGTTTCAAAACTGCTCTATTAAAGGAAGGTTCAACTCTGTGATTTCAATTCACACATCACAAAGAACTTTCTGACAATGCTTCTATCTAGTTTTTATGTGAAGATATTACTGTTTCCTATGAAGGCCTCAAAGTGGTCCGAATATCACTTGCAGATTCTACAGAAAGAGGTTTTCAAAACTGCTCTGTGAAGAGGTATGTTCAACTCTGTGTGTTGAATGCAAACATCACGAAGTAGTTTCTGAGAATGCTTCTGTCTAGATTTTAGGGGCAGATATTTCCATTGGCACAACAGCCCTCAAAGCGCTCCAAATATCCACTGGCAGATTCTACCAAAAGAGTGTCTCAAAACTGCTCTGTGAAAAGAAATGTTCAACTGTGTTAGTTGAATGCCCACATCACAAAGGAGATTCTGAGAATATTTCTGTCTAGTTTTTATTAGAAGATATTCCCGTTTCCACCAAAGGACACAAAGCGAAGCCAATTATCCGCTTGCAGATCTTACAAAAACACGTTTCAAAAGTGCTCTATCCAAGGAAAGGTTCATCTCTCTGGGTTCAACGCACACATCACAAAGAAGTTTCTGAGAATGCTTCTGGCTAGTTTGTGTGTGAAGATATTCCCATTTCCAACAAAGGCTTCAAAGCGCTCCAAAGATTCACCTGCAATTGTTCAAAAGGGTGTTTCAAAACTGTTGTATCAAAAGGAAGGTTCAACTCTGTGAGTTGAAAGCACGCTTCACATAAATGTTTCTGAGAATGCTTCTTTCTAGTTTTTATGGGAAGATATTTCCTTCTCCACCACAGCCCTCAAAGCGCTCCAAGTGTCCGCTGGCAGATTCCACAGAAACAGTGTTTCAAAACTGCTCTAACAAAAGAAAGATTCAACTCCGTGATTTGAATGCACACATCACAAAGCATTTTTTGTGAATCCTTCTGTCTAGTTTTTATATGAGGATATTTCCTTTTCTACCATGGGCATCAAAGCGTTCCAATCATCCAATTGTAGAATGCACAAATAGAGTGTTTCAAAACTGCTTCATGAAAAGGAAGTTTCAAATTTGGGAGTAGAATGCACACATCACGAAGAAGTTTCTGAGAATGCTTCTGTCTAGTTTATATGTGAAGATATTCCCATTTCCAGCAAAGGTCTCAAAGCGGTCCAAATATCCCCTTGCGGATCCCACAAACAGAGTGTTTCAAAACTGCTCTACGGAAAGTTATGTTCAACTCTGTGAGTTTACTGCAAACATCCTAAAGAAGTTACTGAGAATGCTGCTGTCTAGTTTAATGTGAATATATTTTCTTTTCCACCATAGCCCTCAAAGAGCTCCAAATATCCACTTTCAGATTCTACAGAGTGTTTCAAAACTGCTCTATCAAAAAAAAGGTTCAACTCTGTGAGTTGAATGCTCATAACACAAAGTAGTTTCTGAGAATGATTTCGTCTATTTTTCCCAGGAAGATATTTCCTTTTTGACCGTAGGCCTCAAATCGCTCCAGATATCCACATGCAGATTCTACAAAAAGAGTGTTTCCAAACTGCGCAATCAAAAGGAAGGTTCAACTCTGGTAGTTGAATGCAAACATCACAAAGAAGTTTCTCAGAATGCTTCAGTCTAGTTTTTAGAGGCAGATGTTTCTTTTTCTACCATAGGCCTCAAACCGCTCCGAATATCCACTTGCAGATTCTCCAAAAACAGTGTTTCAAAGCTGCTCCATAAAAAGGAAGGTTCAACTCTGTGAGTTGAATGGACAGATCACAAAGAAGTTTCTGAGAATGCTTCTGTCTAGTGTTTATGTGAAGATATTCCCGTTTCCGATGAAGGCCTCAAAGCAGTCCAAATATCCAGTTGCAAATTCTACAAAAATAGTGTTTCAAAACTACTCTGTGGAAAGGTATGCTCAACACTGTGAAATGAATGCAAACCTCACGAAGAAGTTGCTGAGAATGCTTCAGTCTAGTTTCTATGGGAAGACATTTCCTTTTGCACCGCAGCCCTCAAAGCACCCCAAATGTTTACCTGCAGATTCGATAAAAGAGGTTTTCAAAACTGCTCCATCCAAAGAAAGGTTCAACGCTGTGAGTTGAATCTACATATCACAAAACAAGTTTCTGAGAATGCCTCTATCTACTTTTCCTGTGAAGATATTCCGGTTTCCAACGAAGGCCTCAAAGCGCTCCAAATATCTACTTGCAGATTCTAGAAAAAGAGTGTTTCACAACTGCTCTATTAAAGGAAGGTTCAACTCTGTGAGTTGAATTCACACATCACAAAGAAGTTTCTGACAATGCTTCTATCTAGGTTTTATGTGAAGATATTACTGTTTCCTATGAAGGCTTCAAAGTGGTCCGAATATCCACTTTCAGGTTCTACAAAAAAGGTTTTAAAAACTGCTCTATGAAGAGGTATGTTCAACTCTGTGAGTCGAATGCGAACATCACTATGTAGTTTCTGAGAAAGCTTCTGTCTAGTTTTCAGGGGCAGATATTTCCATTGGCACAATAGCCCTCCAAGCGCTCCAAATATCCACTGGCAGATTCTCCCAAAAGAGTGTTTCAAAACTGCTCTGTGAAAAGAAATGTTCAACTGTGTTAGTTGAATGCCCACATCACAAAGGAGATTCTGAGAATATTTCTGTCTAGTTTTTATTAGAAGATATTCCCGTTTCCACCAAAGGACACAAAGCGAAGCCAATTATCCACTTGCAGATCTTACAAAAACACGTTTCAAAACTGCTCTATCCAAGGAAAGGTTCATCTCTCTGGGTTCAACGCACACATCACAAAGAACTTTCTGAGAATGCTTCTGGCTAGTTTGTGTGTGAAGATATTCCCATTTCCAACAAAGGCTTCAAAGCGCTCCAAAGATTCACCTGCAATTGTTCAAAAGAGTGTTTCCAAACTGTTCTATCAAAACGAAGGTTCAACTCTGTGAGTTGAATGCACGCTTCACATAAATGTTTATGAGAATGCTTCTTTCTAGTTTTTATGGGAAGATATTTCCTTCTCCACCACAGCCCTCAAAGCGCTCCAAGTGTCCGATGGCAGATTCCACAGAAACAGTGTTTCAAAACTGCTCTAACAAAAGAAAGATTGAACTCCGTGATTTGAATGCACACATCACAAAGCATTTTCTGTGAATCCTTCTGTCTAGTTTTTATATGAGGATATTTCCTTTTCTACCATGGGCATCAAAGCGTTCCAATTATCCAATTGTGGATTGCACAAACAGAGTGTTTCAAAACTGCTTCATGAAAAGGAAGATTCAAATTCGCGAGGAGAATGCACACATCATGAAGAAGTTTCTGAGAATGCTTCTGTCCAGTTTATATGTGAAGATATTCCCATTTCCAGCAAAGGTCTCAAAGCGGTCCAAATGTCCACTTGCGGATCCCACAAACAGAGTGTTTCAAAACTGCTCTACGGAAAGGAATGCTCAACTCTGTGAGTTTACTGCAAACATCCTAAGGAAGTTTCTTGGAATGCTGCTGTCTACTTTAATGTGAATATACTTTCTTTTCCGCCATAGCCCTCAAAGATCTCCAAATATCCACTTTCAGATTCTACAGAGTGTTTCAAAACTGCTCTATCAAAAAAAAGTTTCAACTCGGTGAGTCGAATGCACATATCACAAAGCAGTTGCTGAGAATGCTTTCGTCTATCTTTCCCAGGAAGATATTTCCTTTTGGACCGTAGGCCTCAAATCGCTCCAGATATCCACATGCAGATTCTACAAAAAGAGTGTTTCCAAACTGCCCTATCAAAAGGAAGGTTCAACTCCGGTAGTTGAAGGCAAACATCACAAAGAAGTTTCTCAGAATGCTTCTGTCTAGTTGTCATAGGCAGATATTTCTTTTTCTACCATAGGCCTCAAAGCGCTCCAAATATCCACTTGCAGATTCTCCAAAAACAGGGTTTCAAAACTGCTCCATAAAAAGGAAGGTTCAACTCTGTGAGTTGAATGGACAGACCACAAAGAAGTTTCTGAGAATGCTTCTCTCTAGTGTTTATGTGAAGATATTCCCGTTTCCGATGAAGGCCTGAAAGCAGTCCAAATATCCACTTGCCGATTATACAAAAACAGTGTTTCAAAACCACTCTATGGAAAGGTATGTTCAAAACTGTGAGATGAATGCAAACGTCACCAAGAAGTTGCTGAGAATGCTTTCAGTCTAGTTTCTATGGGAAGACATTTCCTTTTGCACCAGAAGCCCTCAAAGCACTCCAAATGTCTACTTGCAGATTCGATAAAAGAGTTTTTCAAAACTGCTCTATCAAAAGAAAGGTTCAACGCTGTGAGTTGAATCTACATATGACAAAAAAGTTTCTGAGCATGCCTCTATCTACTTTTTGTGTGAAGATATTCCGGTTTCCAACGAAGGCCTCAAAGCGCTCCAAATATCTACTTGCAGATTCTAGAAAAAGAGTGTTTCAAAACTGCTCTATTAAACGAAGGTTCAACTCTGTGAGTTGAATTTACACATCACAAAGAACTTTCTGAGAATGCTTCTATCTAGTTTTTATGTGAAGATATTACTGTTTCCTATGAAGGCCTCAAAGTGGTCCGAATATCCACTTGCAGATTCTACAAAAAGAGGTTTTCAAAACTGCTCTATGCACACGTATGTTCAACTCTGTGAGTTGAATGCAAACATCACGAAGCAGTTTCTGAGAATGCTTCTGTCCAGATTTCAGGGGCAGATATTTCCATTGGCACAATAGCCCTCCAAGCGCTCCAAATATCCACTGGCAGATTCTACCAAAAGTGTGTTTCAAAACTGCTGTGTCAAAAGAAATGTTCAACTGTGTTAGTTGAATGCCCACATCACAAAGGAGATTCTGAGAATATTTCTGTCTAGTTTTTATTAGAAGATATTCCCGTTTCCACCAAAGGACACAAAGCGAAGCCAATTATCCGCTTGCCGATCTTACAAAAACACGTTTCAAAACTGCTCTATCAAAGAAAGGTTCATCTCTCTGGGTTCAACGCACACATCACAAAGAAGTTTCTGGGAATGCTTCTGGCTAGTTCGTGTGTGAAGATATTCCCGTTTCCAACAAAGGCTTCAAAGCCCTCCAAATATTCACCTGCAATTGTTCAAAAGAGTGTTTCAAAACTGTTCTATCAAAAGGAAGGTTCAACTCTGTGAGTTGAATGCACGCTTCACATAAATGGTTCTGAGAATGCTTCTTTCTAGTTTTTATGGGAAGTTATTTCCTTCTCCACCATAGCCCTCAAAGCGCTCCAAGTGTCCGCTGGCAGATTCCACAGAAACAGTGTTTCAAAACTGCTCTAACAAAAGAAAGATTCAACTCCGTGATTTGAATGCACACATCACAAAGCATTTTCTGTGAATCCTTCTGTCTAGTTTTTATATGAGGTTATTTCCTTTTCTACCATGGGCATCAAAGCCTTCCAGTTATCCAATTGTAGATTACACAAACGGAGTGTTTCAAAACTGCTTCATGAAAAGGAAGATTCAAATTTGGGAGGAGAATGCACACATCACGAAGAAGTTTCTGAGAATGCTTCTGTCTAGTTTATATGTGAAGATATTCCCATTTCCAGCAAAGGTCTCAAAGCGGTCCAAATATCCACTTGCAGATCCCACAAACAGAGGGTTTCAAAACTGCTTTACGGAAAGGTATGTTCAACTTCTGTGAGTTTACTGCAAACATCCTAAAGAAGTCTCTGAGAATGCTGCTGTCTAGTTTAATGTGAATATATTTTCTTTTCCGCCATAGCCCTCAAAGAGCTCCAAATATCCACTTTCAGATTCTACAGAGTGTTTCAAAACTGCTCTATCGAAAAACAGTTTCAACACGGTGAGTCGAATGCACATGTCACAAAGCAGTTTCTGAGAATGCTTTCGTCTATTTTTCCCAGGAAAATATTTCCTTTTTGACCATAGGCCTCAAATCGCTCCAGATATCCACATGCAGATTCTACAAAAAGAGTGTTTCCAAACTGCCCTATCAAAAGGAAGGTTCAACTCTTGTAGTTGCATGCACCCATCACAAAGAAGTTTCTCAGAATGCTTCTGTCTAGTTGTCATAGGCAGATATTTCTTTTTCTACCATAGGCCTCAAAGCGCTCCAAATATCCACTTGCAGATTCTCCAAAAACTGTGTTTCAATACTGCTCCATAAAAAGGAAGGTTCAACTCTGTGAGTTGAATGGACAGACCACAAAGAGGTTTCTGAGAATGCTTCTGTCTAGTGTTTATGTGAAGGTATTCCCGTTTCCGATGAAGGCCTCAAAGCAGTCCAAATATCCACTTGCAGATTCTACAAAAATAGTGCTTCAAAACTACTCTATGGAAAGGTATGTTCAACACTGTGAGATGAATGCAAACGTCACAAATAAGTGGCTGAGAATGCTTCAGTCTAGTTTCTATGGGAAGACATTTCCTTTTGCACCACAGCCCTCAAAGCACCCCAAATGTCCACCTGCAGATTCGATAAAAGGGTTTTTCAAAACTGCTCCATCCAAAGAAAGGTTCAACGCTGTGAGTTGAATCTACATATCACAAAAAAGTTTCTGAGAATGCCTCTATCTACTTTTCCTGTGAAGATATTCCGGTTTCCAAAGAAGGCCTCAAAGCGCTCCAAATATCTACTTGCAGATTCTAGAAAAAGAGTGTTTCAAAACTGCTCTATTAAAGGAAGGTTCAACTCTGTGAGTTGAATTCACACATCACAAAGAACTTTCTGACAATGCTTCTATCTAATTTTTATGTGAAGATATTACTATTTCCTATGAAGGCCTCAAAGTGGTCCGAATATCCACTTGCAGATTCTACAAAAAGAGGTTTTCAAAACTGCTCTATGCAGAGGTATGTTCAACCCTGTGAGTTGAATGCAAACATCACGAAGCAGTTTCTGAGAATGCTTCTGTCTAGTTTTTAGGGGCAGATATTTCCATAGGCACAATCGCCCTCAAAGCGCTCCAAATATCCACTGGCAGATTCCACCAAAAGAGTGTTTCAAAACTGCTCTGTGAAAAGAAATGTTCAAATGTGTTAGTTGAATGCCCACATCACAAAGAAGATTCTGAGAATATTTCTGTCTAGTTTTTATTAGAAGATATTCCCGTTTCCACCAAAGGACACAAAGCGAAGCCAATTATCCGCTTGCCGATCTTACAAAAACACGTTTCAAAACTGCTCTATCGAAGGAAAGGTTCATCTCTCTGGGTTCAACGCACACATTACAAAGAAGTTTCTGAGAATGCTTCTGGCTAGTTTGTGTGTGAAGATATTCCCATTTCCAACAAAGGCTTCAAAGCCCTCCAAATATTCACCTGCAATTGTTCAAAAGAGTGTTTCAAAACTGTTCTATCAAAAGGAAGGTTCAACTCTGTGAGTTGAACGCACGCTTCACATAAATGGTTCTGAGAATACTTCTTTCTAGTTTTTATGGGAAGATATTTCCTTCTCCACCGTAGCCCTCAAAGCGCTCCAAGTGTCCGCTGGCAGATTCCACAGAAACAGTGTTTCAAAACTGCTCTGTCAAAAGAAAGATTCAACTCCGTGATTTGAATGCACACATCACAAAGCATTTTCTGTGAATCCTTCTGTCTAGTTTTCATATGAGGATATTTCCTTTTCTACCATGGGCATCAAAGCGTTCCAATTATCCAATTGTGGATTGCACAAACAGAGTGTTTCAAAACTGCTTCAGGAAAAGGAAGATTCAAATTCGGGAGTAGAATGCACACATCACGAGGAAGTTTCTGAGAATGCTTCTGTCTAGTTTATATGTGAAGATATTCCCATTTCCAGCAAAGGCCTCAAAGCGGTCCAAATATCCACCTGCGGATCCCACAAACAGAGTGTTTCAAAACTGCTCTATGGAAAGGTAGGTTCAACTCTGTGAGTTTACTGCAAACATCCTAAAGAAGTTTCTGAGAATGCTGCTGTGTAGTTTAATGTGAATATATTTTCTTTTCCGCCATAGCCCTCAAAGAGCTCCAAATATCCACTTTCAGATTCTACAGAGTGTTTCAAAACTGCTCTATCAAAAAAAAGTTTCAAATCGGTGAGTCGAATGCACATATCACAAAGCAGTTTCTGAGAATGCTTTCGTCTATTTTTCCCAGGAAGATATTTCCTTTTTGACCGTAGGCCTCAAACCACTCCAGTATATCCACATGCAGATTCTACAAAAAGAGTGTTTCCAAACTGCCCTATCAAAAGGAAGGTTCAACTCTGCTAGTTGAATGCAAACATCACAAAGAAGTTTCTCGGAATGCTTCTGTCTGGTTTTTAGAGGCAGATATTTCTTTTTCTACCATAGGCCTCAAATCGCTCCAAATATCCACTTGCAGATTCTCCAAAAACAGTGTTTCAAAACTGCTGCAGAAAAAGGAAGGTTCAAATCTGTGAGTTGAATGGACAGATGACAAAGAAGTTTCTGAGGATGCTTCTCTCTGGTGTTTATGTGAAGATATTCCCGTTTCCGATGAAGGCCTGAAAGCAGTCCAAATATCCACTTGCCGATTCTACAAAAACAGTGTTTCAAAACCACTCTATGGAAAGGTATGTTCAACACTGTGAGATGAATGCAAACGTCACCAAGAAGTTGCTGAGAATGCTTCAGTCTAGTTTCTATGGGAAGACATTTCCTTTTGCACCACAGCCCTCAAAGCACCCCGAATGTCTACCTGCAGATTCGATAAAAGGGTTTTTCAAAACTGCTCCATCCAAAGAAAGGTTCAACGCTGTGAGTTGAATCTACATATCACCAAAAAAGTTTCTGACAATGCCTCTGTCTACTTTTTATGTGAAGATATTCCGGTTTCCAACGATGGCCTCAAAGCGCTCCAAATATCTACTTGCAGATTCTAGAAAAAGAGTGTTTCAAAACTGCTCTATTAAAGGAAGGTTCAACTCTGTGAGTTGAATTCACACATCACAAAGAACTTTCTGACAATGCTTCTATCTAGTTTTTATGCGAAGATATTACTGTTTCCTATGAAGGCCTCAAAGTGCTCCGAATATCCACTTGCAGATTCTACAAAAAGAGGTTTTCAAAACTGCTCTGTGAAGAGGTATGTTCAACTCTCTGAGTTGAATGCAAACATCACGAAGTAGTTTCTGAGAATGCTTCTGTCTAGATTTCAGGGGCAGATATTTCCATTGGCACAACAGCCCTCAAAGCGCTCCAAATATCCACTGGCAGATTCTACCAAAAGAGTGTTTCAAAACTGCTCTGTGAAAAGAAATGTTCAACTGTGTTAGTTGAATGCCCACATCACAAAGGAGATTCTGAGAATATTTCTGTCTAGTTTTTATTAGAAGATATTCCCGTTTCCACCAAAGGACACAAAGCGAAGCCAATTATCCACTTGCAGATCTTACAAAAACACGTTTCAAAACTGCTCTATCCAAGGAAAGGTTCATCTCTCTGGGTTCAACTCACACATCACAAAGAAGTTTCTGAGAATGCTTCTGGCTAGTTTGTGTGTGAAGATATTCCCATTTCCAACAAAGGCTTCAAAGCGCTCCAAAGATTCACCTGCAATTGTTCAAAAGAGTGTTTCAAAACTGTTGTATCCAAAGGAAGGTTCAACTCTGTGAGTTGAATGCACGCTTCACATAAATGTTTCTGAGAATGCTTCTTTCTAGTTTTTATGTGAAGATATTTCCTTCTCCATCGTAGCCCTCAAAGCGCTCCAAGTGTCCGCTGGCAGATTCCACAGAAACAGTGTTTCAAAACTGCTCTAACAAAAGAAAGATTCAACTCCGTGATTTGAATGCACACATCACAAAGCATTTTCTGTGAATCCTTCTGTCTAGTTTTTATATGAGGATATTTTCTTTTCTACCATGGGCATCAAAGCGTTCCAATTATCCAATAGTAGATTGCGCAAATAGAGTGTTTCAAAACTGCTTCATGAGAAGGAAGATTCAAATTCGGGAGTAGAATGCACACATCAAGAAGAAGTTTCTTAGAATGCTTCTGTCTAGTTTATATGTGAAGATATTCCCATTTCCAGCAAAGGTCTCAAAGCGGTCCAAATATCCACTTGCGGATCCCACAAACAGAGTGTTTCAAAACTGCTCTACGGAAAGGTATGTTCAACTCTGTGAGTTTACTGCAAACATCCTAAAGAAGTTTCTGAGTATGCTGCTGTCCAGTTTAATGTGAATATGTTTTCTTTTCCGCCATAGCCCTCAAAGAGCTCCAAATATCCACTTTCAGATTCTACAGAGTGTTTCAAAACTGCTCTATCAAAAAAAAGTTTCAACTCGTTGAGTCGAATGCACATATCACAAAGCAGTTTCTGAGAATGCTTTCCTCTATTTTTCCCAGGAAGATATTTCCTTTTGGACCGTAGGCCTCAAATCGCTCCAGATATCCACATGCAGATTCTACAAAAAGAGTGTTTCCAAACTGCCCTATCAAAAGGAAGGTTCAACTCTGGTAGTTGAATGCAAACATCACAAAGAAGTTTCTCAGAATGCTTCTGTCTAGTTGTCATAGGCAGATAGTTCTTTTTCTACCGTAGGCCTCAAAGCGCTCCAAATATCCACTTGCAGATCCTCCAAAAACAGTGTTTCAAAACTGCTCCATAAAAAGGAAGGTTCAACTCTGTGAGTTGAATGGACAGACCACAAAGAAGTTTCTGAGAATGCTTCTCTCTAGTGTTTATGTGAAGATATTCCCGTTTCCGATGAAGGCCTCAAAGCAGTCCAAATATCCACTTGCCGATTCTACAAAAACAGTGTTTCAAAACTACTCTATGGAAAGGTATGTTCAACACTGTGAGATGAATGCAAACGTCACACAGAAGTTGCTGAGAATGCTTCAGTCTAGTTTCTATGGGAAGACATTTCCTTTTGCACCACAGCCCTCAAAGCACCCCAAATGTCTACCTGCAGATTCGATAAAAGGGTTTTTCAAAACTGCTCCATCCAAAGAAAGGTTCAACACTGTGAGTTGAATCTACATATCACAAAAAAGTTTCTGAGAATGCCTCTGTCTACTTTTTATGTGAAGATATTCCAGTTTCCAACGATGGCCTCAAAGCGCTCCAAATATCTACTTGCAGATTCTAGAAAAAGAGTGTTTCAAAACTGCTCTATTAAAGGAAGGTTCAACTCTGTGAGTTGAATTCACACATCACAAAGAACTTTCTGACAATGCTTCTATCTAGTTTTTACGTGAAGATATTACTGTTTCCTATGAAGGCCTCAAAGTGGTCCGAATATCCTCTTGCAGATTCTACAAAAAGAGGTTTTCAAAACTGCTCTATGAAAAGGTATGTTCAACTCTGTGAGTTGAATGCAAACATCACAAAGCAGTTTCTGAGAATGCTTCTGTCTAGTTTTTAGGGGCAGATATTTCCGTTGGCACAAGAGCCCTCATAGCGCTCCAAATATCCACTGGCAGATTCTACCAAAAGAGTGTTTCAAAACTGCTCTGTGAAAAGAAACGTTCAACTGTGTTAGTTGAATGCCCACATCACAAAGAAGATTCTGAGAATATTTCTGTCTAGTTTTTATTAGAAGATATTCCCGTTTCCACCAAAGGACACAAAGCGAAGCCAACTATCCGCTTGCAGATCTTACAAAAACACGTTTCAATACTGCTCTATCAAAGGAAAGGTTCATCTCTCTGGGTTCAACGCACACATCACAAAGAAGTTTCTGAGAATGCTTCTGGCTAGTTTGTGTGTGAAGATATTCCCTTTTCCAACAAAGGCTTCAAAGCGCTCCAAAGATTCACCTGCAATTGTTCAAAAGAGTGTTTCAAAACTGTTGTATCAAAAGGAAGGTTCAACTCTGTGAGTTGAATGCACGCTTCACATAAATGTTTCTGAGAATGCTTCTTTCTAGTTTTTATGGGAAGATATTTCCTTCTCCACCATAGCCCTCAAAGCGAACCAAGTGTCCGCTGGCAGATTCCACAGAAACAGTGTTTCAAAACTGCTCTCACAAAAGAAAGATTCAACTCCGTGATTTGAATGCACACATCACAAAGCATTTTCTGTGAATCCTTCTGTCTAGTTTTTATATGAGGATATTTCCTTTTCTACCATGGGCATCAAAGCGTTCCAATCATCCAATTGTAGAATGCACAAATAGAGTGTTTCAAAACTGCTTCATGAAAAGGAAGATTCAAATTTGGGATTAGAATGCACACATCATGAAGAAGTTTCTGAGAATGCTTCTGTCTAGTTTATATGTGAAGATATTCCCGTTTCCAGCAAAGGTCTCAAAGTGGTCCAAATATCCACTTGCGGATCCCAAAAACAGAGTGTTTCAAAACTGCTCTACGGAAAGGTATGTTCAACTCTGTGAGTTTACTGCAAACATCCTAAAGAAGTTTCTGGGAATGCTGCTGTCTACTTTAATGTGAATATATTTTCTTTTCCGCCATAGCCCTCAAAGAGCTCCAAATATCCACTTTCAGATTCTACAGAGTGTTTCAAAACTGCTCTATCAAAAAAAAGTTTCAACTCGGTGAGTCGAATGCGCATATCACAAAGCAGTTTCTGAGAATGCTTTCGTCTATTTTTCCCAGGAAGATATTTCCTTTTTGACCGTAGGCCTCAAATCGCTCCAGATATCCACATGCAGATTCTACAAAAAGAGTGTTTCCAAACTGCCCTATCAAAAGGAAGGTTCAACTCTGGTACTTGAATGCAAACATCACAAAGAAGTTTCTCAGAATGCTTCTGTCTAGTTTTTAGAGGCAGATATTTCTTTTTCTACCACAGGCCTCAAAGCGCTCCAAATATCCACGTGCAGATTCTCCAAGAACAGTGTTTCAAAACTGCTCCATAAAAAGGAAGGTTCAACTCTGTGAGTTGAATGGACAGATCACAAAGAAGTTTCTGAGAATGCTTCTCTCTAGTGTTTATGTGAAGATATTCCCGTTTCCGATGAAGGCCTCAAAGCAGTCCAAATATCCACTTGCCGATTCTACAAAAACAGTGTTTCAAAACCACTCTATGGAAAGGTATGTTCAACGCTGTGAGATGAATGCAAACGTCACCAAGAAGTTGCTGACAATGCTTCAGTCTAGTTTCTATGGGAAGACATTTCCTTTTGCACCACAGCCCTCAAAGCACTCAAAAGGTCTACGGGCAGATTCGATAAAAGAGTTTTTCAAAACTGCTCTATCAAAAGAAAGGTTCAACGTTGTGAGTTGAATCTACATATCACAAAAAAGTTTCTGAGAATGCCTCTATCTACTTTTTCTGTGAAGATATTCCGGTTTCCAACAAAGGCCTCAAAGCGCTCCAAATATCTACTTGCAGATTCTAGAAGAAGAGTGTTTCAAAACTGCTCTATTAAAGGAAGGTTCAACTCTGTGAGTTGAATTCACACATCACAAAGAACTTTCTGACAATGCTTCTATCTAGTTTTTACGTGAAGGTATTACTGTTTCCTATGAAGGCCTTAAAGTGGTCTGAATATCCACTTGCAGATTCTACAAAAAGAGGATTTCAAAACTGCTCTATGAAGAGGTATGTTCAACTCTGTGAGTTGAATGCAAACATCACAAAGTAGTTTCTGAGAATGCTTCTGTCTAGTTTTTAGGGGAAGATATCTCCATTGGCACAATAGCCCTCAAAGCGCTCCAAGTATCCACTGGCAGATTCTAGCAAAAGAGTGTTTCAAAACTGCTCTGTGAAAAGAAATGTTCAACTGTGTTAGTTGAATGCCCACATCACAAAGATGATTGTGAGAATATTTCTGTCTAGTTTTTATTAGAAGATATTCCCGTTTCCACCAAAGGACACAAAGCGAAGCCCATTATCCGCTTGCAGACCTTACAAAAACACGTTTCAAAACTGCTCTATCAAAGGAAAGGTTCATCTCTCTGGGTTCAACGCACACATCACAAAGAAGTTTCTGAGAATGCTTCTGGCTAGTTCGTGTGTGAAGATATTCCCATTTCCAACAAAGGCTTCAAAGCCCTCCAAATATTCACCTGCAATTGTTCAAAAGAGTGTTTCAAAACTGTTCTATCAAAAGGAAGGTTCAACTCTGTGAGTTGAACGCACGCTTCACATAAATGGTTCTGAGAATGCTTCTTTCTAGTTTTTATGGGAAGATATTTCCTTCTCCACCATAGCCCTCAAAGAGCTCCAAGAGTCCGCTGGCAGATTCCAAAGAAACAGTGTTTCAAAACTGCTCTCACAAAAGAAAGATTCAACTCCGTGATTTGAATGCACACATCACAAAGCATTTTCTGTGAATCCTTCTGTCTAGTTTTTATATGAGGATATTTCCTTTTCTACCATGGGCATCAAAGCGTTCCATTTATCCAATTGTGGATTGCACAAACAGAGTGTTTCAAAACTGCTTCATGAAAAGGAAGATTCAAATTCGGGAGTAGAATGCACACATCACGAAGAAGTTTACTGAGAATGCTTCTGTCTAGTTTATATGTGAAGATATTCCCGTTTCCAGCAAAGGTCTCAAAGGGGTCCAAATATCCACTTGCGGATCCCACAAACAGAGTGTTTCAAAACTGCTCTACGGAAAGGTATGTTCAACTCTGTGAGTTTAACTTGAAAAACATCCTAAAGAAGTTTCTGGGAATGCTGCTGTCTACTTTAATGTGAATATATTTTCTTTTCCGCCATAGCCCTCAAAGAGCTCCAAATATCCACTTTCAGATTCTACAGAGTGTTTCAAAACTGCTCTATCAAAAAAAAGTTTCAACTCGGGGAGTCGAATGCACATATCACACAGCACTTTCTGAGAATGCTTTCGTCTATTTTTCCCAGGAAGATATTTCCTTTTTGACCGTAGGCCTCAAATCGCTCCAGATGTCCACATGCAGATTCTACAAAAAGAGTGTTTCCAAACTGCCCTATCAAAAGGAAGGTTCAAATCTGGTAGTTGAATGCAAACATCACAAAGAAGTTTCTCAGAATGCTTCTGTCTGGTGTTTAGGGGCAGATATTTCTTTTTCTACCATAGGCCTCAAAGCGCTCCAAATATCCACTTGCAGATTCTCCAAAAAGAGTGTTTCAAAACTGCTCCAGAATAAGGAAGGTTCAACTCTGTGAGTTGAATGGACAGATGACAAAGAAGTTTCTGAGAATGCTTCTGTCTAGTGTTTATGTGAAGATATTCCCGTTTCCGATGAAGGCCTCAAAGCAGTCCAAATATCCACTTGCAGATTCTACAAAAATAGTGCTTCAAAGCTACCCTATGGAAAGGTATGTTCAACACTGTGAGATGAATGCAAACATCACAAAGAAGTTGCTGAGAATGCTTCAGTCTAGTTTCTATGGGAAGACATTTCCTTTTGCACCACAGCCCTCAAAGCACCCCGAATGTCTACCTGCAGATTCGATAAAAGAGTTTTTCAAAACTGCTCCATCCAAAGAAAGGTTCAACGCTGTGAGTTGAATCTACATATCACAAAAAAGTTTTCTGAGAATGCCTCTATCTACTTTTCCTGTGAAGATATTCTGGTTTCCAACGAAGGCCTCAAAGCGCTCCAAATATCTACTTGCAGATTCTAGAAAAAGAGTGTTTCAAAACTGCTCTATTAAAGGAAGGTTCAACTCTGTGAGTTGAATTCACACATCACAAAGAACTTTCTGACAATGCTTTTATCTAGTTTTTATGTGAAGATATTACTGTTTCCTATGAAGGCCTCAGAGTGTTCCGAATATCCACTTGCAGATTCTACAAAAAGAGGTTTCCAAAAGTGCTCTATGCAGAGGTATGTTCAAGTCTGTGAGTTGAATGCAAACATCACGAAGCAGTTTCTGAGAATGCTTCTGTCTAGTTTTCAGGGGCAGATATTTCCATTGGCACAATAGCCCTCCAAGCGCTCCAAATATCCACTGGCAGATTCTACCAAAAGGGTGTTTCAAAACTGCTCTGTGAAAAGAAATGTTCAACTGTGTTAGTTGAATGCCCACATCACAAAGGAGATTCTGAGAATATTTCTGTCTAGTTTTTATTAGAAGATATTCCCGTTTCCACCAAAGGACACAAAGAGAAGCCAATTATCCGCTTGCAGATCTTACAAAAACACGTTTCAAAACTGCTCTATCAAAGGAAAGGTTCATCTCTCTGGGTTCAACGCACACATCACAAAGAAGTTTCTGAGAATGCTCTGGCTACTTTGTGCGTGAAGATATTCCCATTTCCAGCAAAGGCTTCAAAGCGCTCCAAATATTCACCTGCAATTGTTCAAAAGAGTGTTTCAAAACTGTTCTAACAAAAGGAAGGTTCAACTACTGAGAGTTGAATGCACGCTTCACATAAATGGTTCTGAGAATGCTTTCTTTCTAGTTTTTATGTGAAGATATTTCCTTCTCCACCATAGCCCTCAAAGCGCTCCAAGTGTCCGCTGGCAGATTCCACAGAAACAGTGTTTCAAAACTGCTCTAACAAAAGAAAGATTCAACTGCGTGATTTGAATGCACACATCACAAAGCATTTTCTGTGAATCCTTCTGTCTAGTTTTTATATGAGGATATTTCCTTTTCTACCATGGGCATCAAAGCGTTCCAATTATCCAATTGTGGATTGCACAAACAGAGTGTTTCAAAACTGCTTCATGAAAAGGAAGATTCAAATTTGGGAGTAGAATGCACACATCACGAAGAAGCTTCTGAGAATGCTTCTGTCTAGTTTATATGTGAAGATATTCCCATTTCCAGCAAAGGTCTCAAAGCGGTCCAAATATCCCCTTGCGGATCCCACAAACAGAGTGTTTCAAAACTGCTCTACGGAAAGGTAGGTTCAACTCTGTGAGTTTACTGCAAACATCCTAAAGAAGTTTCTGAGAATGCTGCTGTCTACTTTAATGTGAATATATTTTCTTTTCCGCCATAGCCCTCAAAGAGCTCCAACTATCCACTTTCAGATTCTACAGAGTGTTTCAAAACTGCTCTATCAAAAAAAAGTTTCAACTCGGTGAGTCGAATGCACATATCACAAAGCACTTTCTGAGAATGCTTTCGTCTATTTTTCCCAGGAAGATATTTCCTTTTGGACCGTAGGCCTCAAATCGCTCCAGATATCCACATGCAGATTCTACAAAAAGAGTGTTTCCAAACTGCCCTATCAAAAGGAAGGTTCAACTCTGGTAGTTGAATGCCAAACATCACAAAGAAGTTTCTCAGAATGCTTCTGTCTGGTTTTTAGAGGCAGATATTTCTTTTTCTACCATAGGCCTCAAAGCGCTCCAAATATCCACTTGCAGATTCTCCAAAAGGAGTGTTTCAAAACTGCTCCATAAAAAGGAAGGTTCAACTCTGTGAGTTGAATGGACAGATCACAAAGAAGTTTCTGAGAATGCTTCTCTCTAGTGTTTATGTGAAGATATTCCCGTTTCCGATGAAGGCCTCAAAGCAGTCCAAATATCCAATTGCCGATTCTACAAAAACAGTGTTTCAAAACCACTCTATGGAAAGGTATGTTCAACACTGTGAGATAAATGCAAACGTCACCAAGAAGTTGCTGAGAATGCTTCAGTCTAGTTTCTATGGGAAGACATTTCCTTTTGCACCACAGCCCTCAAAGCACGCCGAATGTCTACCTGCAGATTCGATAAAAGAGTTTTTCAAAACTGCTCCATCCAAAGAAAGGTTCAACGCTGTGAGTTGAATCTACATATCACAAAAAAGTTTCTGAGAATGCCTCTATCTACTTTTCCTGTGAAGATATTCCGGTTTCCAACGAAGGCCTCAAAGCGCTCCAAGTATCTACTTGCAGATTCTAGAAAAAGAGTGTTTCACAACTGCTCTATTGAAGGAAGGTTCAACTCTGTGAGTTGAATTCACACATCACAAAGAACTTTCTGACAATACTTCTATCTAGTTTTTATGCGAAGTATATTACTGTTTCCTATGAAGGCCTCAAAGTGCTCCGAATATCCACTTGCAGATTCTACAAAAAGAGGTTTTCAAAACTGCTCTGTGAAGAGGTATGTTCAACTCTCTGAGTTGAATGCAAACATCATGAAGTAGTTTCTGAGAATGCTTCTGTCTAGTTTTTAGGGGCAGATATTTCCATTGGCACAATAGCCCTCAAAGCGCTCCAAATATCCACTGGCAGATTCGACCAAAAGAGTATTTCAAAACTGCTCTGTGAAAAGAAATCTTCGACTGTGTTAGATGAATGCCCACATCACAAAGAAATTTCTGAGAATATCTCTGTCTAGTTTTTATTAGAAGATATTCCCGTTTCCACCAAAGGACACAAAGCGAAGCCAATTATCCGCTTGCCGATCTTACAAAAACGCGTTTCAAAACTGCTTTATCAAAGGAAAGGTTCATCTCTCTGGGTTCAACGCACACATCACAAAGAAGTTTCTGAGAATGCTTCTGGCTAGTTTGTGTGTGAAGATATTCCCATTTCCAACAAAGGCTTCAAAGCCCTCCAAATATTCACCTGCAATTGTTCAAAAGAGTGTTTCAAAACTGTTCTATCAAAAGGAAGGTTCAACTCTGTGAGTTGAATGCACGCTTCACATAAATGGTTCTGAGAATGCTTCTTTCTAGTTTTTATGTGAAGATATTTCCTTCTCCACCATAGCCCTCAAAGCGCTCCAAGTGTCCGCTGGCAGATTCCACAGAAGCAGTGTTTCAAAACTGCTCTAACAAAAGAAAGATTCAACTCCGTGATTTGAATGCACACATCACAAAGCATTTTCTGTGAATCCTTCTGTCTAGTTTTTATATGAGGATATTTCCTTTTCTACCATGGGCATCAAAGGGTTCCAATTATCCAATTGTAAATTGCACAAATAGAGAGTTATAAAACTGCTTCATGAGAAGGAAGATTCAAATTTGGGAGTAGAATGCACACATCACGAAGAAGTTTCTGAGAATGCTTCTGTCTAGTTTATATGTGAAGATATTCCCGTTTCCAGCAAAGGTCTCAAAGCGGTCCAAATATCCACTTGCGGATCCCACAAACAGAGTGTTTCAAAACTGCTCTACGGAAAGGTATGTTCAACTCTGTGAGTTTACAGCAAACATCCTAAAGAAGTTTCTGGGAATGCTGCTGTCTACTTTTTTAACGTGAATATATTTTCTTTTCCGCCATAGCCCTCAAAGAGCTCCAAATATCCACTTTCAGATTCTACAGAGTGTTTCAAAACTGCTGTATCAAAAAAAAGTTTCAACTCGGTGAGTCGAATGCGCATATCACAAAGCACTTTCTGAGAATGCTTTCGTCTATTTTTCCCAGGAAGATATTTCCTTTTTGACCGTAGGCCTCAAACCGCTCCAGATATCCACATGCAGATTCTACAAAAAGAGTGTTTCCAAACTGCCCTATCAAAAGGAAGGTTCAACTCTGCGAGTTGAATGCAAACATCACAAAGAAGTTTCTCGGAATGCTTCTGTCTTTTTTTTAGAGGCAGATATTTCTTTTTCTACCATAGGCCTCAAAGCACTCCAAATATCCACCTGCAGATTCTCCAAAAGGAGTGTTTCAAAACTGCTCCATAAAAAGGAAGGTTCAACTCTGTGAGTTGAATGGACAGATGACAAAGAAGTTTCTGAGAATGCTTCTCTCTAGTGTTTATGTGAAGATATTCCCTTTTCCGATGAAGGCCTCAAAGCAGTCCAAATATCCACTTGCCGATTCTACAAAAACAGTGTTTTAAAACCACTCTAGGGAAAGGTATGTTCAACACTGTGAGATGAATGCAAACGTCACCAAGAAGTTGCTGAGAATGCTTCAGTCTAGTTTCTATGGGAAGACATTTCCTTTTGCACCACAGCCCTCAAAGCACTCCAAATGTCTACCTGCAGATTCGATAAAAGAGTTTTACGAAACTGCTCTATCAAAAGAAAGGCTCAACGCTGTGAGTTGAATCTACATATCACGAAAAAGTTTCTGAGAATGCATCTATCTACTTTTTATGTGAAGATATTCTGGTTTCCAACGAAGGCCTCAAAGCGCTCCAAATATCTACTGGCAGATTCTAGAAAAAGAGTGTTTCAAAACTGCTCTATTAAAGGAAGGTTCAACTCTGTGAGTTGAATTCACACATCACAAAGAACTTTCTGACAATGCTTCTGTCTAGTTTTTATGTGAAGATATTACTGTTTCCTATGAAGGCCTCAAAGTGGTCCGAATATCCACTTGCAGATTCTACAAAAAGAGGTTTTCAAAACTGCTCTATGCAGAGGTATGTTCAACCCTGTGAGTTGAATGCAAACATCACGAAGCAGTTTCTGAGAATGCTTCTGTCTAGTTTTCGGGGGCAGATATTTCCATTGGCACAATAGCCCTCCAAGCGCTCCAAATATCCACTGGCAGATTCGACCAAAAGAGTGTTTCAAAACTGCTCTGTGAAAAGAAATGTTCAACTGTGTTAGTTGAATGCCCACATCACAAAGGAGATTCTGAGAATATTTCTGTCTAGTTTTTATTAGAAGATATTCCCGTTTCCACCAAAGGACACAAAGCGAAGCCAATTATCCACTTGCCGACCTTACAAAAACACGTTTCAAAACTGCTCTATCAAAGGAAAGGTTCATCTCTCTGGGTTCAACGCACACATCACAAAGAAGTTTCTGAGAATGCTTCTGGCTAGTTTGTGTGTGAAGATATTCCCATTTCCAACAAAGGCTTCAAAGCGCTCCAAAGATTCACCTGCAATTGTTCAAAAGGGTGTTTCAAAACTGTTGTATCAAAGGGAAGGTTCAACTCTGTGAGTTGAATGCAAGCTTCACATAAATGTTTCTGAGAATGCTTCTCTCTAGTTTTTATGGGAAGATATTTCCTTCTCCACCATAGCCCTCAAAGCGCTCCAAGTGTCCGCTGGCAGATTCCACAGAAACAGTGTTTCAAAACTGCTCTGACAAAAGAAAGATTCAACTCCGTGATTTGAATGTACACATCACAAAGCATTTTCTGTGAATCCTTCTGTCTAGTTTTTATATGAGGATATTTCCTTTTCTACCACGGTCATCCAAGCGTTCCAATTCTCCAATTGTAGATTGCACAAACAGAGTGTTTCAAAACTGCTCCATGAGAAGGAAGATTCAAATTTGGGAGTACAATGCACACATCACGAAGAAGTTTCTGAGAATGCTTCTGTCTAGTTTATACGTGAAGATATCCCCATTTCCAGCAAAGGTCTCAAAGCGGTCCAAATATCCACTTGCGGATCCCACAAACAGAGTGTTTCAAAACTGCTCTACGGAAAGGTATGTTCAACTCTGTGAGTTTACTGCAAACATCCTAAAGAAGTTTCTGAGAATGCTGCTGTCTACTTTAATGTGAATATATTTTCTTTTCCGCCATAGCCCTCAAAGAGCTCCAAATATCCACTTTCAGATTCTACAGAGTGTTTCAAAACTGCTCTATCAAAAAAAAGTTTCAACTCGGTGAGTCGAATGCGCATATCACAAAGTACTTTCTGAGAATGCTTTCGTCTATCTTTCACAGGAAGATATTTCCTTTTGGACCGTAGGCCTCAAATCGCTCCAGATATCCACATGCAGATTCTACAAAAAGAGTGTTTCCAAACTGCCCTATCAAAAGGAAGGTTCAACTCTGGTAGTTGAAGGCAAACATCACAAAGAAGTTTCTCAGAATGCTTCAGTCTAGTATTTAGAGGCAGATATTTCTTTTTCTACCATTGGCCTCAAGGCGCTCCAAATATCCACTTGCAGATTCTCCACAAACAGTGTTTCAAAACTGCTCCATAAAAAGGAAGGTTCAACTCTGTGTGTTGAACGGACAGATCACAAAGAAGTTTCTGAGAATGCTTCTGTCCAGTGTTTATGTGAAGATATTCCCGTTTCCGATGAAGGCCTC
Source organism: Homo sapiens (assembly GCF_000001405.40). Taxonomy (NCBI): domain Eukaryota; kingdom Metazoa; phylum Chordata; class Mammalia; order Primates; family Hominidae; genus Homo; species Homo sapiens. The sequence goes on along the minus strand of NC_000005.10, from coordinate 49,793,327 downwards.
AAAGCAGTCCAAATATCCACTTGCAGATTCTACAAAAATAGTGTTTCAAAACTACTCTATGCAAAGGTATGTTCAACACTGTGAGATGAATGCAAACATCACAAAGAAGTTGCTGAGAATGCTTCAGTCTAGTTTCTATGGGAAGACATTTCCTTTTGCACCACAGCCCTCAAAGCACCCCGAATGTCTACCTGCAGATTCGATAAAAGGGTTTTTCAAAACTGCTCCATCCAAAGAAAGGTTCAACGCTGTGAGTTGAATCTACATATCACAAAAAAGTTTCTGACAATGCCTCTATCTACTTTTCCTGTGAAGATATTCCGGTTTCCAACGAAGGCCTCCAAGCACTCCAAATATCTACTTGCAGATTCTAGAAAAAGAGTGTTTCAAAACTGCTCTATTGAAGGAAGGTTCAACTCTGTGAGTTGAATTCACACATCACAAAGAACTTTCTGACAATGCTTCTATCTAGTTTTTATGTTAAGATATTACTGTTTCCCATGAAGGCCTCAAAGTGGTCCGAATATCCACTTGCAGATTCTACAAAAAGAGGTTTTCAAAACTGCTCTATGCAGAGGTATGTTCAACTCTGTGAGTTGAATGCAAACATCCCGAAGCAGTTTCTGAGAATGCTTCTGTCTAGATTTTAGGGGCAGATATTTCCATTGGCACAACAGCCCTCAAAGCGCTCAAAATATCCACTGGCAGATTCTACCAAAAGTGTGTTACAAAACTGCTCTGTGAAAAGAAATGTTCAACTGTGTTAGTTGAATGCCCACATCACAAAGGAGATTCTGAGAATATTTCTGTCTAGTTTTTATTAGAAGATATTCCCGTTTCCACCAAAATACACAAAGCGAAGTCAATTATCCGTTTGCAGATCTTACCAAAACACGTTTCAAAACTGCTCTATCAAAGGAAAGGTTCACCTCTCTGGGTTCAACGCACACATCACAAAGAAGTTTCTGAGAATGCTTCTGGCTAGTTTGTGTGTGAAGATATTCCCATTTCCAACAAAGGCTTCAAAGCGCTCCATAGATTCACCTGCAATTGTTCAAAAGGGTGTTTCAAAACTGTTGTATCAAAAGGAAGGTTCAACTCTGTGAGTTGAATGCACGCTTCACATAAATGTTTCTGAGAATGCTTCTTTCTAGTTTTTATGGGAAGATATTTCCTTCTCCACCACAGCCCTCAAAGTGCTCCAAGTGTCCGCTGGCAGATTCCACAGAAACAGTGTTTCAAAACTGCTCTAACAAAAGAAAGATTCAACTCCGTGATTTGAATGCACACATCACAAAGCATTTTCTGTGAATCCTTCTGTCTAGTTTTTATATGAGGATATTTCCTTTTCTACCATGGGCATCAAAGCGTTCCAATTATCCAATTGTGGATTGCACAAACAGAGTGTTTCAAAACTGCTTCATGAAAAGGAAGATTCAAATTCGCGAGGAGAATGCACACATCACGAAGAAGTTTCTGAGAATGCTTCTGTCTAGTTTATATGTGAAGATATTCCCGTTTCCAGCAAAGGTCTCAAAGCGGTCCAAATATACACTTGCGGATCCCACAAACAGAGTGTTTCAAAACTGCTCTACGGAAAGGTATGTTCAACTCTGTGAGTTTACTGCAAACATCCTAAAGAAGTTTCTGGGAATGCTCCTCTCTAGTTTAATGTGAATATATTTTCTTTTCCGCCATAGCCCTCAAAGAGCTCCAAATATCCACTTTCAGATCTCTACAGAGTGTTTCAAAACTGCTCTATCAAAAAAAAGTTTCAACTCGGTGAGTCGAATGCCCATATCACAAAGCAGTTTCTGAGAATGCTTTCGTCTATTTTTCCCAGGAAGATATTTCCTTTTTGACCGTAGGCCTCAAACCGCTCCAGATATCCACATGCAGATTCTACAAAAAGAGTGTTTCCAAACTGCCCTATGAAAAGGAAGGTTCAACTCTGCTAGTTGAATGCAAACATCACAAAGAAGTTTCTCGGAATGCTTCTGTCTGGTTTTTAGAGGCAGATATTTCTTTTTCTACCATAGGCCTCAAAGCGCTCCAAATATCCACTTGCAGATTCTCCAAAAGGAGTGTTTCAAAACTGTTCCATAAAAAGGAAGGTTCAACTCTGTGAGTTGAATGGACAGATCACAAAGAAGTTTCTGAGAATGCTTCTCTCTAGTGTTTATGTGAAGATATTCCCGTTTCCGATGAAGGCCTCAAAGCAGTCCAAATATCCACTTGCAGATTCTACAAAAATAGTGTTTCAAAACTACTCTTTGGAAAGGTATGTTCAACGCTGTGAGATGAATGCAAACGTCACAAAGAAGTTGCTGAGAATGTTTCAGTCTAGTTTCTATGGGAAGACATTTCCTTTTGCACCACAGCCCTCAAAGCACACCAAATGTCTACCTGCAGATTCGATAAAAGAGTTTTTCAAAACTGCTCTATCAAAAGAAAGGTTCAACGCTGTGAGTGGAATCAACATATCACAAAAAAGTTTCTGAGAATGCCTCTATCTACTTTTTCTGTGAAGATATTTCGGTTTCCAACGAAGGCCTCAAAGCGCTCCAAATATCTACTTACAGATTCTAGAAGAAGAGTGTTTCAAAACTGCTCTATTAAAGGAAGGTTCAACTCTGTGAGTTGAATTCACACATCACAAAGAACTTTCTGACAATGCTTCTATCTAGTTTTTATGTGAAGATATTACTGTTTCCTATGAAGGCCTCAAAGTGGTCCGAATATCCACTTGCAGATTCTACAAAAAGAGGTTTTCAAAACTGCTCTATGAAGAGGTATGTTCAACTCTGTGAGTTGAATGCCAACATCACAAAGCAGTTTCTGAGCATGCTTCTGTCTAGTTTTTAGGGGCAGATATTTCCGTTGGCACAATAGCCCTCAAAGCGCTCCAAATATCCACTGGCAGATTCTACCAAAAGGGTGTTTCCAAACTGCTCTGTGAAAAGAAAGGTTCAACTGTGTTAGTTGAATGCCCACATCACAAAGAAGATTCTGAGAATATTTCTGTCTAGTTTTTATTAGAAGATATTCCCGTTTCCACCAAAGGACACAAAGCGAGACAAATTATCCGCTTGCAGATCTTACAAAAACACGTTTCAAAACTGCTCTATCAAAGGAAAGGTTCATCTCCCTGGGTTCAACGCACACATCACAAAGAAGTTTCTGAGAATGCTTCTGTCTAGTTTGTGTGTGAAGATATTCCCATTTCCAACAAAGGCTTCAAAGCCCTCCAAATATTCACCTGCAATTGTTCAAAAGAGTGTTTCAAAACTGTTCTATCAAAAGGAAGGTTCAACTCTGTGAGTTGAACGCACGCTTCACATAAATGGTTCTGAGAATGCTTCTTTCTAGTTTTTATGGGAAGATATTTCCTTCTCCACCATAGCCCTCAAAGTGCTCCAAGTGTCCGCTGGCAGATTCCACAGAAACAGTGTTTCAAAACTGCTCTAACAAAAGAAAGATTCAACTCCGTGATTTGAATGCACACATCACAAAGCATTTTCTGTGAATCCTTCTGTCTAGTTTTTATATGAGGATATTTCCTTTTCTACCATGGGCATCAAAGCGTTCCAATTATCCAATTGTGGATTGCACAAACAGAGTGTTTCTAAACTGCTTCATGAAAAGGAAGATTCAAATTCGGGAGTAGAATGCACACATCACGAAGAAGTTTCTGAGAATGTTTCTGTCTAGTTTATATGTGAAGATATTCCCGTTTCCAGCAAAGGTCTCAAAGCGGTCCAAATATCCACTTGCGGATCCCACAAACAGAGTGTTTCAAAACTGCTCTACGGAAAGGTATGTTCAACTACTGTGAGTTTACTGCAAACATCCTAAAGAAGTTTCTGGGAATGCTGCTGTCTAGTTTAATGTGAATATATTTTCTTTTCCGCCATAGCCCTCAAAGAGCTCCAAATATCCACTTTCAGATTCTACAGAGTGTTTCAAAACTGCTCTATCAAAACAAAGTTTCAACTCGGTGAGTCGAATGCACATATCACAAAGCAGTTTCTGAGAATGCTTTCGTCTATTTTTCCCAGGAAGATATTTCCTTTTTGACCGTAGGCCTAAAACCGCTCCAGATAACCACATGCAGATTCTACAAAAAGAGTGTTTCCAAACTGCCCTATCAAAAGGAAGGTTCAACTCTGCTAGTTGAATGCAAACATCACAAAGAAGTTTCTCAGAATGCTTCTGTCTGGTTTTTAGAGGCAGATATTTCTTTTTCTACCATAGGCCTCAAAGCGCTCGAAATATCCACTTGCAGATTCCCCAAAAACAGTGATTCAAAACTGCTCCATAAAAAGGAAGGTTCAACTCTGTGAGTTGAATGGACAGATGACAAAGAAGTTTCTGAGAATGCTTCTGTCTAGTGTTTATGTGAAGATATTCCCGTTTCCGATGAAGGCCTCAAAGTAGTCCAAATATCCACTTGCAGATTCTACAAAAATAGTGCTTCAAAACAACTCTATGGAAAGGTATGCTCAACACTGTGAGATGAAGGCAAACGTCACAAAGAAGTTGCTGAGAATGCTTCAGTCTAGTTTCTATGGGAAGACATTTCCTTTTGCACCACAGCCTTCAACGCACTCCAAATGTCTACTTGCAGATTCGATAAAAGAGTTTTACAAAACTGCTCTATCAAAAGAAAGGTTCAACGCTGTGAGTTGAATCCACATATCACGAAAAAGTTTCTGAGAATGCCTCTATCTACATTTCCTGTGAAGATGTTCCGGTTTCCAACGAAGGCCTCCAAGCGCTCCAAATATCTACTTGCAGATTCTAGAAAAAGAGTGTTTCAAAACTGCTCTATTAAAGGAAGGTTCAACTCTGTGAGTTGAATTCACACATCACAAAGAACTTTCTGACAATGCTTCTATCTAGTTTTTATGCGAAGATATTACTGTTTCCTATGAAGGCCTCAAAGTGCTCCGAATATCCACTTGCAGATTCTACAAAAAGAGGTTTTCAATACTGCTCTGTGAAGAGGTATGTTCAACTCTGTGAGTTGAATGCAAACATCACGAAGTAGTTTCTGAGAATGCTTCTGTCTAGTTTTTAGGGGCAGATATTTCCATTGGCACAATAGCCCTCAAAGCGCTCCAAATATCCACTGGCAGATTCGACCAAAAGAGTGTTTCAAAACTGCTCTGTGAAAAGAAATGTTCAACTGTGTCAGTTGAATGCCCACATCACAAAGAAGTTTGCTGAGAATATCTCTGTCTAGTTTTTATTAGAAGATATTCCCGTTTCCACCAAAGGACACAAAGCGAAGCCAACTATCCGCTTGCAGATCTTACAAAAACACGTTTCAAAACTGCTCTATCAAAGGAAAGGTTCATCTCTCTGGGTTCAATGCACACATCACAAAGAAGTTTCTGAGAATGCTTCTGGCTAGTTTGTGTGTGAAGATATTCCCATTTCCAACAAAGGCTTCAAAGCGCTCCAAATATTCACCTGCAATTGTTCAAAAGAGTGTTTCAAAACTCTTCTATCAAAAGGAAGGTTCAACTCTGTGAGTTGAATGCACGCTTCACATAAATGTTTCTGAGAATGCTTCTTTCTAGTTTTTATGGGAAGACATTTCCTTCTCCACCATAGCCCTCAAAGCGCTCCAAGTGTCCGCTGGCAGATTCCACAGAAACAGTGTTTCAAAACTGCTCTGACAAAAGAAAGATTCAACTCCGTGATTTGAATGCACACATCACAAAGCATTTTCTGTGAATCCTTCTGTCTAGTTTTTATATGAGGATATTTCCTTTTCTACCATGGGCATCAAAGCGTTCCAATTATCCAATTGTGGATTGCACAAACAGAGTGTTTCAAAACTGCTTCATGAAAAGGAAGATTCAAATTTGGGAGTAGAATGCACACATCATGAAGAAGTTTCTGAGAATGCTTCTGTCTAGTTTATATGTGAAGATATTCCCATTTCCAGCAAAGGTCTCAAAGCGGTCCAAATATCCACTTGCGGATCCCACAAACAGAGTGTTTCAAAACTGCTCTACGGAAAGGTATGTTCAACTCTGTGAGTTTACTGCAAACATCCTAAAGAGGTTTCTGAGAATGCTGCTGTCTAGTTTAATGTGAATATATTTTCTTTTCCGCCATAGCCCTCGAAGAGCTCCAAATATCCACTTTCAGATTCTACAGAGTGTTTCAAAACTGCTCTATCAAAAAAAAGTTTCAACTCGGAGAGTCGAATGCACATATCACAAAGCAGTTTACTGAGAATGCTTTCGTCTATTTTTCCCAGGAAGATATTTCCTTTTTGACCGTAGGCCTCAAATCGCTCCAGATATCCACATGCAGATTCTACAAAAGGGTGTTTCCAAACTGCCCTATCAAAAGGAAGGTTCAACTCTGCTAGTTGAATGCAAACATCACAAAGAAGTTTCTCAGAATGCTTCTGTCTAGTTTTTAGAGGCAGATATTTCTTTTTCTACCATAGGCCTCAAAGCGCTCCAAATATCCACTTGCAGATTCTCCAAAAACATTGTTTCAAAACTGCTCCATAAAAAGGAAGGTTCAACTCTGTGAGTTGAATGGACAGATCACAAAGTAGTTTCTGAGAATGCTTCTCTCTAGTGTTGATGTGAAGATATTCCCGTTTCCGATGAAGGCCTCAAAGCAGTCCAAATATCCACTTGCAGATTCTACAAAAATAGTGTTTGAAAACTACTCTATGGAAAGGTATGTTCAACACTGTGAGATGAATGCAAACGTCACAAAGAAGTTGCTGAGAATGCTTCAGTCTAGTTTCTATGGGAAGACATTTCCTTTTGCACCACAGCCCTCAAAGCACTCCAAATGTCTACTTGCAGATTCGATAAAAGAGTTTTACAAAACTGCTCTATCAAAAGAAAGGTTCAACGCTGTGAGTTGAATCCACATATCACGAAAATTTTCTGAGAATGCCTCTATCTACTTTTCCTGTGAAGATATTCCGGTTTCCAACGAAGGCCTCAAAGCGCTCCAAATATCTACTTGCAGATTCTAGAAAAAGAGTGTTTCAAAACTGCTCTATTAAAGGAAGGTTCAACTCTGTGAGTTGAATTCACACATCACCAACAACTTTCTGACAATGCTTCTATCTAGTTTTTATGTGAAGATATTACTGATTCCTATGAAGGCCTCAAACTGGTCCGAATATCCACTTGCAGATTCTACAAAAAGAGGTTTTCAAAACTGCTCTATGAAAAGGTATGTTCAACTCTGTGAGTGGAATGCAAACATCACAAAGCAGTTTCTGAGAATGCTTCTGTCTAGTTTTAAGGGCAGATATTTCCATTGGCACAATAGCCCTCAAAGCGCTCCAAATATCCACTGGCAGATTCTACCAAAAGAGTGTTTCAAAACTGCTCTGTGAAAAGAAACGTTCAACTGTGTTAGTTGAATGCCCACATCACAAAGAAGATTCTGAGAATATTTTTGTCTAGTTTTTATTAGAAGATATTCCCGTTTCCACCAAAGGACCCAAAGCGAAGCCAGTTATCCGCTTGCCGATCTTACAAAAACACGTTTCAAAACTGCTCTATCAAAGGAAAGGTTCATCTCTCTGGGTTCAACGCACACATCACAAAGAAGTTTCTGAGAATGCTTCTGGCTAGTTTGTGTGTGAAGATATTCCCATTTCCAACAAAGGCTTCAAAGCGCTCCAAAGATTCACCTGCAATTGTTCAAAAGAGTGTTTCAAAACTCTTCTATCAAAAGGAAGGTTCAACTCTGTGAGTTGAATGCACGCTTCACATAAATGTTTCCGAGAATGCTACTTTCTAGTTTTTATGGGAAGATATTTCCTTCTCCACCACAGCCCTCAAAGCGCTCCAAGTGTCCGCTGGCAGATTCCACAGAAACAGTGTTTCAAAACTGCTCTAACAAAAGAAAGATTCAACTCCGTGATTTGAATGCACACATCACAAAGCATTTTCTGTGAATCCTTCTGTCTAGTTTTTATATGAGGATATTTCCTTTTCCCACCATGGGCATCAAAGCGTTCCAATCATCCAATTGTAGAATGCACAAATAGAGTGTTTCAAAACTGCTTCATGAAAAGGAAGATTCAAATTTGGGAGTAGAATGCACACATCACGAAGAAGTTTCTGAGAATTCTTCTGTCCAGTTTATATGTGAAGATATTCCCGTTTCCAGCAAAGGTCTCAAAGCGGTCCAAATATCCACTTGCGGATTCCACAAACAGAGTGTTTCAAAACTGCTCTACGGAAAGGTGTGTTCAACTCTGTGAGTTTACTGCAAACATCCTAAAGAAGTTTCTGGGAATGCTGCTGTCTAGTTTAATGTGAATATATTTTCTTTTCTCCATAGCCCTCAAAGAGCTCCAAATATCCACTTTCAGATTCTACAGAGTGTTTCAAAACTGCTCTATCCAAAAAAAGTTTCAACTCGGTGAGTCGAATGCACATATCACAAAGCAGTTTCTGAGAATGCTTTCGTCTATTTTTCCCAGGAAGATATTTCCTTTTTGACTGTAGGCCTCAAACCGCTCCAGATATCCACATGCAGATTCTACAAAAAGAGTTTTTCCAAACTGCCCTATCAAAAGAAAGGTTCAACTCTGCTAGTTGAATGCAAACATCACAAAGAAGTTTCTCGGAATGCTTCTGTCTAGTTGTCATAGGCAGATATTTCTTTTTCTACCATAGGCCTCAAAGCGCTCCAAATATCCACTTGCAGATTCTCCGAAAACAGTGTTTCAAAACTGCTCCATAAAAAGGAAGGTTCAACTCTGTGATTTGAATGGACAGACCACAAAGTAATTTCCGAGAATGCTTCTGTCTAGTGTTTATGTGAAGATATTCCCGTTTCCGATGAAGGTCTCAAAGCAGTCCAAATATCCACTTGCAGATTCTACAAAAATAGTGCTTCAAAACTACTCTATGGAAAGGTATGTTCAACACTGTGAGATGAATGCAAACGTCAAAAAGAAGTTGCTGAGAATGCTTCAGTCTAGTTTCTATGGGAAGACATTTCCTTTTGCACCACAGCCCTCAAAGCACCCCAAATGTCTACCTGCAGATTCGATAAAAGAGGTTTTCAAAACTGCTCCACCCAAAGAAAGGTTCAACGCTGTGAGTTGAATCTACATATCACAAAAAAAGTTTCTGAGAATGCCTCTATCTACGTTTTATGTGAAGATATTCCGGTTTCCAACGAAGGCCTCAAAGCGCTCCAAATATCTACTTGCAGATTCTAGAAAAAGAGTGTTTCAAGACTGCTCTATTAAAGGAAGGTTCAACTCTGTGAGTTGAATTCACACATCACAAAGAACTTTCTGACAATGCTTCTATCTAGTTTTTATGTGAAGATATTACTGTTTCCCATGAAGGCCTCAAAGTGGTCCGAATATCCACTTGCAGATTCTACAAAAAGAGGTTTTCAAAACTGCTCTATGCAGAGGTATGTTCAACTCTGTGAGTTGAATGCAAACATCCTGAAGCAGTTTCTGAGAATGCTTCTGTCTAGTTTTCAGGGGCAGATATTTCCATTGGCACAATAGCCCTCCAAGCGCTCCAAATATCCACATGCAGATTCTACCAAAAGAGTGTTTCAAAACTGCTCTGTGAAAAGAAATGTTCAACTGTGTTAGTTGAATGCCCACATCACAAAGGAGATTCTGAGAATATTTCTGTCTAGTTTTTATTAGAAGTATATTCCCGTTTCCACCAAAGGACACAAAGCGAAGCCAATTATCCGCTTGCCGATCTTACAAAAACACGTTTCAAAACTGCTCTATCGAAGGAAAGGTTCATCTCTCTGGGTTCAACGCACACATTACAAAGAAGTTTCTGAGAATGCTTCTGGCTAGTTTGTGTGTGAAGATATTCCCATTTCCAACAAAGGCTTCAAAGCGCTCCAAAGATTCACCTGCAATTGTTCAAAAGAGTGTTTCAAAACTGTTCTATCAAAAGGAAGGTTCAACTCTGTGAGTTGAATGCACGCTTCACATAAATGTTTCCGAGAATGCTTCTTTCTAGTTTTTATGTGAAGATATTTCCTTCTCCACCGTAGCCCTCAAAGCGCTCCAAGGGTCCGCTGGCAGATTCCACAGAAACAGTGTTTCAAAACTGCTCTAACAAAAGAAAGATTTAACTCCGTGATTTGAATGCACACATCACAAAGCATTTTCTGTGAATCCTTCTGTCTAGTTTTTATATGAGGATATTTCCTTTTCTACCACGGGCATCCAAGCGTTCCAATTCTCCAATTGTAGATTGCACAAACAGAGTGTTTCAAAACTGCTCCATGAGAAGGAAGATTCAAATTTGGGAGTACAATGCACACATCACGAAGAATTTTCTGAGAATGCTTCTGTCCAGTTTATATGTGAAGATATTCCCGTTTCCAGCAAAGGTCTCAAAGCGGTCCAAATATCCACTTGCGGATCCCACACACAGAGTTTTTCAAAGCTGCTCTACGGAAAGGTATGTTCAACTCTGTGAGTTTACTGCAAACATCCTAAAGAAGTTTCTGGGAATGCTGCTGTCTACTTTACTGTGAATATATTTTCTTTTCCGCCATAGCCCTCAAAGAGCTCCAAATATCCACTTTCAGATTCTGCAGAGTGTTTCAAAACTGCTCTATCAAAAAAAAGTTTCAACTCGGTGAGTCGAATGCACATATCACAAAGCACTTTCTGAGAATGCTTTCGTCTATTTTTCCCAGGAAGATATTTCCTTTCTGACCGTAGGCCTCAAACCGCTCCAGATATCCACATGCAGATTCTACAAAAAGAGTGTTTCCAAACTGCCCTATCAAAAGGAAGGTTCAACTCTGCTAGTTGAATGCAAACATCACAAAGGAGTTTCTCGGAATGCTTCTGTCTGGTTTTTAGAGGCAGATATTTCTTTTTCTACCATAGGCCTCAAAGCGCTCCAAATATCCACTTGCAGATTCTCCAAAAGGAGTGTTTCAAAACTGCTCCATAAAAAAGAAGGTGCAACTCTGTGAGTTGAATGGACAGATGACAAAGAAGTTTCTGAGAATGCTTCTCTGTAGTGTTTATGTGAAGATATTCCCGTTTCCGATGAAGGCCTCAAAGCAGTCCAAATATCCACTTGCCGATTCTACAAAAACAGTGTTTCAAAACCACTCTATGGAAAGGTATGTTCAACACTGTGAGATGAATGCAAACGTCACCAAGAAGTTGCTGAGAATGCTTCAGTCTAGTTTCTATGGGAAGACTTTTCCTTTTGCACCAGAGCCCTCAAAGCACCCCAAATGTCTACCTGCAGATTCGATAAAAGAGTTTTTCAAAACTGCTCCATGCAAAGAAAGGTTCAACGCTGTGAGTTGAATCTACATATCACAAAAAAGTTTCTGAGAATGCCTCTATCTACTTTTCCTGTGAAGATATTCCGGTTTCCAACGAAGGCCTCAAAGCGCTCCAAATATCTACTTGCAGATTCTAGAAAAAGAGTGTTTCAAAACTGCTCTATTAAAGGAAGGTTCAACTCTGTGAGTTTAATTCACACATCACCAAGAACTTTCTGACAATGCTTCTATCTAGTTTTTATGTGAAGATATTACTGTTTCCTATGAAGGCCTCAAAGTGGTCCGAATATCCACTTGCAGATTCTACAGAAAGAGGTTTTCAAAACTGCTCTATGAAGAGGTATGTTCAACGCTGTGAGTTGAATGCAAACATCACGAAGTAGTTTCTGAGAATGCTTCTGTCTAGTTATTAGGGGAAGATATTTCCATTGGCACAATATCCCTCAAAGCGCTCCAAGTATCCACTGGCAGATTCTAGCAAAAGAGTGTTTCAAAACTGCTCTGTGAAAAGAAATCTTCAACTGTGTTAGTTGAATGCCCACATCACAAAGATGATTGTGAGAATATTTCTGTCTAGTTTTTATTAGAAGATATTCCCGTTTTCACCAAGGGACACAAAGCAAAGCCAATTATCCGCTTGCAGATCTTACAAAAACACGTTTCAAACCTGCTCTATCAAAGGAAAGGTTCATCTCTCTGGGTTCAACGCACACATCACAAAGAAGTTTCTGGGAATGCTTCTGGCTAGTTTGTGTGTGAAGATATTCCCATTTCCAACAAAGGCTTCAAAGCGCTCCAAAGATTCACCTGCAATTGTTCCAAAGAGTGTTTCAAAACTGTTGTATCAAAAGGAAGGTTCAACTCTGTGAGTTGAAGGCACGCTTCACATAAATGTTTCTGAGAATGCTTCTTTCTAGTTTTTATGTGAAGATATTTCCTTCTCCACCATAGCCCTCAAAGCGCTCCAAGTGTCCGCTGGCAGATTGCACAGAAACAGTGTTTCAAAACTGCTCTCACAAAAGAAAGATTCAACTCCGTGATCTGAATGCACACATCACAAAGCATTTTCTGTGAATCCTTCTGTCTAGTTTTTATATGAGGATATTTCCTTTTCTACCATGGACATCAAAGCGTTCCAATTATCCAATTGTGGATTGCACAAACAGAGTGTTTCAAAACTGCTTCATGAAAAGGAAGATTCAAATTCGGGAGTAGAATGCACACATCACGAAGAAGTTTCTGAGAATGCTTCTGTCCAGTTTATATGTGAAGATATTCCCGTTTCCAGCAAAGGTCTCAAAGCGGTCCAAATATCCACTTGCGGATCCCACAAACAGAGTGTTTCAAAGCTGCTCTACGGAAAGGTATGTTCAACTCTGTGAGTTTACTGCAAACATCCTAAAGAAGTTTCTGGGAATGCTGCTGTCTACTTTAATGTGAATATATTTTCTTTTCCGCCATAGCCCTCAAAGAGCTCCAAATATCCACTTTCAGATTCTACAGTGTGTTTTAAAACTGCTCTATCAAAAAAAGGTTTCAAATCGGTGAGTCGAATGCACATATCACAAAGCACTTTCTGAGAATGCTTTCCTCTATTTTTCCCAGGAAGATATTTCCTTTTGGACCGTAGGCCTCAAATCGCTCCAGATATCCACATGCAGATTCTACAAAAAGAGTGTTTCCAAACTGCCCTATCAAAAGGAAGATTCAACTCTGGTAGTTGAATGCAAACATCACAAAGAAGTTTACTCAGAATGCTTCTGTCTAGTTGTCATAGGCAGATATTTCTTTTTCTACGATGGGCCTCAAAGCGCTCCAAATATCCACTTGCAGATCCTCCAAAAACAGTGTTTCAAAACTGCTCCATAAAAAGGAAGGTTCAACTCTGTGAGTTGAATGGACAGACCACAAAGAAGTTTCTGAGAATGCTTCTGTCTAGTGTTTATGTGAAGATATTCCCGTTTCCGATGAAGGCCTCAAAGCAGTCCAAATGTCCACTTGCAGATTCTACAAAAATAGTGTTTCGAAACTACTCTATGCAAAGGTATGTTCAACACTGTGAGATGAATGCAAACGTCACCAAGAAGTTGCTGAGAATGATTCAGTCTAGTTTCTATGGGAAGACATTTCCTTTTGCACCACAGCCCTCAAAGCACCCCAAATGTCTACCTGCAGATTCGATAAAAGAGTTTTTCAAAACTGCTCCATCCAAAGAAAGGTTCAACGCTGTGAGTTGAATCTACATATCACAAAAATGTTTCTGAGAATGCCTCTATCTACTTTTCCTGTGAAGATATTCCGGTTTCCAACGAAGGCCTCAAAGCGCTCGAAATATCTACTTGCAGATTCTAGAAAAAGAGTGTTTCAAAACTGCTCTATTGAAGGAAGGTTCAACTCTGTGAGTTGAATTCACACATCACAAAGAACTTTCTGACAATGCTTCTATCTAGTTTTTATGTGAAGATATTACTGTTTCCTATGAAGGCCTCAAAGTGGCCCGAATATCCACTTGCAGATTCTACAGAAAGAGGTTTTCAAAACTGCTCTCTGAAGAGGTATGTTCAACTCTGTGTGTTGAATGCAGACATCACGAAGTAGTTTCTGAGAATGCTTCTGTCTAGTTTTTAGGGGAAGATATTTCCATTGGCACAATAGCCCTCAAAGCGCTCCAAATATCCACTGGCAGATTCTACCAAAAGAGTGTTTCAAAACTGCTCTGTGAAAAGAAATGTTCAACTGTGTTTGTTGAATGCCCACATCACAAAGAAGATTCTGAGAATATTTCTGTCTAGTTTTTATTAGAAGATATTCCCGTTTCCACCAAAGGACACAAAGCGAAGCCAATTATCCGCTTGCAGCATCTTACAAAAACACGTTTCAAAACTGCTCTATCAAAGGAAAGGTTCATCTCTCTGGGTTCAACGCACACATCACAAAGAAGTTTCTGAGAATGCTTCTGGCTAGTTTGTGTGTGAAGATATTCCCATTTCCAACAAAGGCTTCAAAGCGCTCCAAAGATTCACCTGCAATTGTTCAAAAGAGTGTTTCAAAACTGTTCTATCAAAAGGAAGGTTCAACTCTGTGAGTTGAAGGCACGCTTCACATAAATGATTCCGAGAATGCTTCTTTCTAGTTTTTATGGGAAGATATTTCCTTCTCCACCATAGCCCTCAAAGCGCTCCAAGTGTCCGCTGGCAGATTCCACAGAAACAGTGTTTCAAAACTGCTCTGACAAAAGAAAGATTCAACTCCGTGATTTGAATGCACACAACACAAAGCATTTTCTGTGAATCCTTCTGTCTAGTTTTTATATGAGGATACTTCCTTTTCTACCATGGGCATCAAAGCGTTCCAATTATCCAATTGTGGATTGCACAAACAGAGTGTTTCAAAACTGCTTCATGAAAAGGAAGATTCAAATTCGCGAGGAGAATGCACACATCACGAAGAAGTTTCTGAGAATGCTTCTGTCTAGTTTATATGTGAAGATATTCCCGTTTCCAGCAAAGGTCTCAAAGCGGTCCAAATATCCACTTGCGGATCCCACAAACAGAGTGTTTCAATACTGCTCTACGGAAAGGTATGTTCAACTCTGTGAGTTTACTGCAAACATCCTAAAGAAGTTTCTGGGAATGCTGCTGTCTAGTTTAATGTGAATATATTTTCTTTTCCGCCATAGCCCTCAAAGAGCTCCAAATATCCACTTTCAGATTCTACAGAGTGTTTCAAAACTGCTCTATCAAAAAAAAAGTTTCAACTCGGTGAGTCGAATGCACATATCACAAAGCAGTTTCTGAGAATTCTTTCGTCTATTTTTCCCAGGAAGATATTTCCTTTTTGACCGTAGGCCTCAAACCGCTCCAGATATCCACATGCAGATTCTACAAAAAGAGTGTTTCCAAACTACCCTATCAAAAGGAAGGTTCAACTCTGCTACTTGAATTCAAACATCACAGAGAAGTTTCTCGGAATGCTTCTGTCTAGTTGTCATAGGCAGATATTTCTTTTTCTACCATAGGCCTCAAAGTGCTCCAAATATCCACTTGCAGATCCTCCGAAAACAGTGTTTCAAAACTGCTCCATAAAAAGGAAGGTTCAACTCTGTGAGTTGAATGGACAGACCACAAAGAAGTTTCTGAGAATGCTTCTCTCTAGTGTTTATTTGAAGATATTCCCGTTTCCGATGAAGGCCTCAAAGCAGTCCAAATATCCACTTGCCGATTCTACAAAAACAGTGTTTCAAAACCACTCTATGGAAAGGTATGTTCAACACTGTGAGATGAATGCAAACGTCACCAAGAAGTTGCTGAGAATGCTTCAGTCTAGTTTCTATGGGAAGACATTTCCTTTTGCACCACAGCCCTCAAAGCACCCCGAATGTCTACCTGCAGATTCGATAAAAGAGTTTTTCAAAACTGCTCCATCCAAAGAAAGGTTCAACACTGTGAGTTGAATCTACATATCACAAAAAAGCTTCTGAGAATGCCTCTATCTACTTTTCCTGTGAAGATATTCCGGTTTCCAACGAAGGCCTCAAAGCGCTCCAAATATCTACTTGCAGATTCTAGAAAAAGAGTGTTTCAAAACTGCTCTATTAAAGGAAGGTTCAACTCTGTGAGTTGAATTCACACATCACAAAGAACTTTCTGACCATGCTTCTATCTAGTTTTTATGTGAAGATATTACTGTTTCCTATGAAGGCCTCAAAGTGGTCCGAATATCCACTTGCAGATTCTCCAGAAAGAGGTTTTCAAAACTGCTCTGTGAAGAGGTATGTTCAACTCTGTGTGTTGAATGCAAACATCACGAAGTAGTTTCTGAGAATGCTTCTGTCTAGTTTTCAGGGGCAGATATTTCCATTGGCACAGTAGCCCTCCAAGCGCTCCAAATATCCACTGGCAGATTCTACCAAAAGAGTGTTTCAAAACTGCTCTGTGAAAAGAAATGTTCAACTGTGTTAGTTGAATGCCCACATCACAAAGGAGATTCTGAGAATATTTCTGTCTAGTTTTTATTAGAAGATATTCCCGTTTCCACCAAAGGACACAAAGCGAAGCCGATTATCCGCTTGCAGACCTTACAAAAACACGTTTCAAAACTGCTCTATCAAAGGAAAGGTTCATCTCTCTGGGTTCAACGCACGCATCACAAAGAAGTTTCTGAGAATGCTTCTGGCTAGTTTGTGTGTGAAGATATTCCCAATTCCAACAAAGGCTTCAAAGCGCTCCAAAGATTCACCTGCAATTGTTCAAAAGAGTGTTTCAAAACTGTTCTATCAAAAGGAAGGTTCAACTCTGTGAGTTGAATGCACGCTTCACATAAATGTTTCTGAGAATGCTTCTCTCTAGTTTTTATGGGAAGATATTTCCTTCTCCACCATAGCCCTCAAAGCGCTCCAAGTGTCCCCTGGCAGATTCCACAGAAACAGTGTTTCAAAACTGCTCTGACAAAAGAAAGATTCAACTCCGTGATTTGAATGCACACATCACAAAGCATTTTCTGTGAATCCTTCTGTCTAGTTTTTATATGAGGATATTTCCTTTTCTACCATGGGCATCAAAGCGTTCCAATTATCCAATTGTGGATTGCACAAACAGAGTGTTTCAAAACTGCTTCATGAAAAGGAAGATTCAAATTCGGGAGGAGAATGCACACAACACGAAGAAGTTTCTGAGAATGCTTCTGTCTAGTTTATATGTGAAGATATTCCCATTTCCAGCAAAGGTCTCAAAGCGGTCCAAATATCCCCTTGCGGATCCCACAAACAGAGTGTTTCAAAACTGCTCTACAGAAAGGTAGGTTCAACTCTGTGAGTTTACTGCAAACATCCTAAAGAAGTTTCTGAGAATGCTGCTGTCTACTTTAATGTGAATATATTTTCTTTTCCGCCATAGCCCTCAAAGAGCTCCAAATATCCACTTTCAGATTCTACAGAGTGTTTCAAAACTGCTGTATCAAAAAAAAGTTTCAACTCGGTGAGTCGAATGCACATATCACAAAGCACTTTCTGAGAATGCTTTCGTCAATTTTTCCCAGGAAGATATTTCCTTTTTGACCGTAGGCCTCAAACCGCTCCAGATATCCACATGCAGATTCTACAAAAAGAGTGTTTCCAAACTGCCCTATCAAAAGGAAGGTTCAACTCTGCTAGTTGAATGCAAACATCACAAAGAAGTTTCTCGGAATGCTTCTGTCTGGTTTTTAGAGGCAGATATTTCTTTTTCTACCATAGGCCTCAAAGCGCTCGAAATATCCACTTGCAGATTCTCCAAACACAGTGATTCAAAACTGCTCCATAAAAAGGAAGGTTCAACTCTGTGAGTTGAATGGACAGATCACAAAGAAGTTTCTGAGAATGCTTCTGTCCAGTGTTTATGTGAAGATATTCCCGTTTCCGATGGAGGCCTCAAAGCAGTCCAAATATCCACTTGCAGATTCTACAAAAATAGTGTTTCAAAACTACTCTATGCAAAGGTATGTTCAACACTGTGAGATCAATGCAAACGTCACAAAGAAGTTGCTGAGAATGCTTTCAGTCTAGTTTCCATGGGAAGACATTTCCTTTGGCACCACAGCCCTCAAAGCACTCCAAATGTCTACTTGCAGATTCAACAAAAGAGTTTTTCAAAACTGCTCTATCAAAAGAAAGGTTCAACGCTGTCAGATGAATCAACATATCACAAAAAAGTTTCTGAGAATGCCTCTATCTACTTTCTATGTGAAGATATTCCGGTTTTCAACGAAGGCCTCAAAGCGCTCCAAATATCTACTTGCATATTCTAGAAAAAGAGTGTTTCAAAACTGCTCTACTAAAGGAAGGTTCAACTCTGTGAGTTGAATTCACACATCACAAAGAACTTTCTGACAATGCTTCTATCTAGTTTTTATGTGAAGATATTACTGTTTCCTATGAAGGCCTCAAAGTGGTCCGAATATCCACTGGCAGATTCTACAAAAAGAGGTTTTCAAAACTGCTCTATGCAGAGGTATGTTCAACCCTGTGAGTTGAATGCAAACATCACGAAGCAGTTTCTGAGAATGCTTCTGTCTAGTTTTTAGGGGAAGATATCTCCATTGGCACAATAGCCCTCAAAGCGCTCCAAGTATCCACTGGCAGATTCTAGGAAAAGAGTGTTTCAAAACTGCTCTGTGAAAAGAAATGTTCAACTGTGTTAGTTGAATGCCCACATTACAAAGATGATTGTGAGAATATTTCTGTCTAGTTTTTATTAGAAGATATTCCCGTTTCCACCAAAGGACACAAAGCGAAGCCAATTATCCGCTTGCCGATCTTACAAAAACACGTTTCAAAACTGCTCTATCCAAGGAAAGGTTCATCTCTCTGGGTTCAACGCACACATCACAAAGAAGTTTCTGAGAATGCTTCTGGCTAGTTTGTGTGTGAAGATATTCCCATTTCCAACAAAGGCTTCAAAGCGCTCCAAAGATTCACCTGCAATTGTTCAAAAGAGTGTTTCAAAACTGTTGTATCCAAAGGAAGGTTCAACTCTGTGAGTTGAATGCACGCTTCACATAAATGTTTACTGAGAATGCTTTCTTTCTAGTTTTTATGTGAAGATATTTCCTTCTCCACCATAACCCTCAAAGCGCTCCAAGTGTCCGCTGGCAGATTCCACAGAAACAGTGTTTCAAAACTGCTCTAACAAAAGAAAGATTCAACTCCGTGATTTGAATGCACACATCACAAAGCATTTTCTGTGAATCCTTCTGTCTAGTTTTTATATGAGGATATTTCCTTTTCTACCACGGTCATCTAAGCCTTCCAATTCTCCAATTGTAGATTGCACAAACAGAGTGTTTCAAAACTGCTCCATGAGAAGGAAGATTCAAATTTGGGAGTACAATGCACACATCACGAAGACGTTTCTGAGAATGCTTCTATCTAGTTTATATGTGAAGATATTCCCGTTTCCAGCAAAGGTCTCAAAGCGGTCCAAATATCCACTTGCGGATCCCACAAACAGAGTGTTTCAAAACTGCTCTACGGAAAGGTATGTTCAACTCTGTGAGTTTACTGCAAACATCCTAAAGAAGTTTCTGGGAATGCTGCTGTCTAGTTTAATGTGAATATATTTTCTTTTCCGCCATAGCCCTCAAAGAGCTCCAAATATCCACTTTCAGATTCTACAGAGTGTTTCAAAACTGCTCTATCAAAAAAAAGTTTCAACTCGGTGAGTCGAATGCACATATCACAAAGCAGTTTCTGAGAATTCTTTCGTCTTTTTTTCCCAGGAAGATATTTCCTTTTGGACCGTAGGCCTCAAATCACTCCAGATATCCACATGCAGATTCTACAAAAAGAGTGTTTCCAAACTGCCCTATCAAAAGGAAGGTTCAACTCTGGTAGTTGAATGCAAACATCACAAAGAAGTTTCTCAGAATGCTTCTGTCTATTTGTCATAGGCAGATATTTCTTTTTCTACCATAGGCCTCAAAGCGCTCCAAATATCCACTTGCAGATTCTCCAAAAACAGTGTTTCAAAACTGCTCCATAAAAAGGAAGGTTCAACTCTGTGATTTGAATGGACAGACCACAAAGAAGTTTCTGAGAATGCTTCTCTCTAGTGTTTATGTGAAGATATTCCCGTTTCCGATGAAGGCCTCAAAGCAGTCCACATATCCACTTGCAGATTCTACAAAAACAGTGTTTCAAAAGTACTCGATGGAAAGGTATGTTCAACACTGTGAGATGAATGCAAACGTCACAAAGAAGTTGCTGAGAATGCTTCAGTCTAGTTTCTATGGGAAGACTTTTCCTTTTGCACCAGAGCCCGCAAAGCACCCCAAATGTCTACCTGCAGATTCGATAAAAGAGTTTTTCAAAACTGCTCCATCCAAAGAAAGATTCAACGCTGTGAGTTGAATCTACATATCACAAAAAAGTTTCTGAGAATGCCTCTATCTACTTTTTATGTGAAGATATTCCGGTTTCCAACGAAGGCCTCAAAGCGCTCCAAATATCTACTGGCAGATTCTCGAAAAAGAGTGTTTCAAAACTGCTCTATTAAAGGAAGGTTCAACTCTGTGAGTTGAATTCACACATCACAAAGAACTTTCTGACAATGCTTCTATCTAGTTTTTATGCGAAGATATTACTGTTTCCTATGAAGGCCTCAAAGTGCTCCGAATATCCACTTGCAGATTCTACAAAAAGAGGTTTTCAAAAGTGCTCTGTGAAGAGGTATGTTCAACTCTCTGAGTTGAATGCAAACATCACGAAGTAGTTTCTGAGAATGCTTCTGTCTAGATTTTAGGGGCAGATATTTCCATTGGCACAACAGCCCTCAAAGCGCTCCAAATATCCACTGGCAGATTCGACCAAAAGTGTGTTTCAAAACTGCTCTGTGAAAAGAAATGTTCAACTGTGTTAGTTGAATGCCCACATCACAAAGGAGATTCTGAGAATATTTCTGTCTAGTTTTTATTAGAAGATATTCCCGTTTCCACCAAAGGACACAAAGCGAAGCCAATTATCCGCTTGCCGATCTTACAAAAACACGTTTCAAAACTGCTCTATCAACGGAAAGGTTCATCTCTCTGGGTTCAACGCACACATCACAAAGAAGTTTCTGAGAATGCTTCTGGTTAGTTTGTGTGTGAAGATATTCCCATTTCCAACAAAGGCTTCAAAGCGCTCCAAAGATTCACCTGCAATTGTTCAAAAGAGTGTTTCAAAACTGTTGTATCCAAAGGAAGGTTCAACTCTGTGAGTTGAATGCACGCTTCACATAAATGTTTCTGAGAATGCTTCTCTTTCTAGTTTTTATGGGAAGATATTTCCTTCTCCACCACAGCCCTCAAAGCGCTCCAAGTGT
The DNA here is from genome assembly GCF_000001405.40 of Homo sapiens. Classification (NCBI taxonomy): domain Eukaryota; kingdom Metazoa; phylum Chordata; class Mammalia; order Primates; family Hominidae; genus Homo; species Homo sapiens. Next base: position 49,772,181 of record NC_000005.10, on the reverse strand, counting down.
CCGCTGGCAGATTCCACAGAAACAGTGTTTCAAAACTGCTCTGACAAAAGAAAGATTCAACTCCGTGATTTGAAAGCACACATCACAAAGCATTTTCTGTGAATCCTTCTGTCTAGTTTTTATATGAGGATATTTCCTTTTCTACCATGGGCATCAAAGCGTTCCAATTATCCAATTGTGGATTGCACAAACAGAGTGTTTGAAAACTGCTTCATGAAAAGGAAGATTCAAATTCGGGAGTAGAATGCACACATCACGAGGAAGTTTCTGAGAATGCTTCTGTCTAGTTTATATGTGAAGATATTCCCGTTTCCAGCAAAGGTCTCAAAGCGGTCCAAATATCCACTTGCGGATCCCACAAACAGAGTGTTTCAAAACTGCTCTACGGAAAGGTATGTTCAACTCTGTGAGTTTACTGCAAACATCCTAAAGAAGTTTCTGGGCATGCTGCTGTCTACTTTAATGTGAATATAATTTCTTTTCCGCCATAGCCCTCAAAGAGCTCCAAATATCCACTTTCAGATTCTGCAGAGTGTTTCAAAACTGCTCTATCAAAAAAAAGTTTCAACTCGGTGAGTCGAATGCACATATCACAAAGCACTTTCTGAGAATGCTTTCGTCTATTTTTCCCAGGAAGATATTTCCTTTTTGACCGTAGGCCTCAAACCGCTCCAGATATCCACATGCGGGTTCTACAAAAAGAGTGTTTCCAAACTGCCCTATCAAAAGGAAGGTTCAACTCTGCTAGTTGAATGCAAACATCACAAAGAAGTTTCTCGGAATGCTTCTGTCTAGTTTTTAGAGGCAGATATTTCTTTTTCTACCATAGGCCTCAAAGCGCTCTAAATATCCACTTGCAGATTCTCCAAAAACAGTGTTTCAAAACTGCTCCATAAAAAGGAAGGTTCAACTCTGTGAGTTGAATGGACAGATCACAAAGTAGTTTCTGAGAATGCTTCTGTCTAGTGTTTATGTGAAGATATTCCCGTTTCCGATGAAGGCCTCAAAGCAGTCCAAATATCCACTTGCAGATTCTACAAAATTAGTGTTTCAAAACTTCTCTATGGAAAGGTATGTTCAACACTGTGAGATGAATGCAAACGTCACAAAGAAGTTGCTGAGAATGCTTCAGTCTAGTTTCTATGGGAAGACATTTCCTTTTGCACCAGAGCCCTCAAAGCACTCCAAATGTCTACTTGCAGATTCGATAAAAGAGTTTTTCGAAACTGCTCTATCAAAAGAAAGGTTCAACGCTGTGAGTTGAATCTACATATGACAAAAAAGTTTCTGAGCATGCCTCTATCTACTTTTTATGTGAAGATATTCCAGTTTCCAATGAAGGCCTCAAAGTGCTCCAAATATCTACTTGCAGATTCTACCAAAAGAGTGTTTGAAAACTGCTCTATTGAAGGAAGGTTCTACTCTGTGAGTTGAATTCACACATCACAAAGAAGTTTCTGAGAATGCTACTATCTAGTTTTTATGTGAAGATATTACTATTTCTTCTGAAGGCCTCAAAGTGGTCCAAATATCCACTTGCAGATTCTACAAAAAGAGGATTTCAAAACTGCTCTATGAAGAGGGAAGTTCAACTCTGGTAGTTGAATGCAAACATCACAAAGCAGTTTCTGAGAATGCTTCTGTCTAGTTTTGATATGCAGATATTTCTTTCTCTACCATAGGCTTCAAAGCGCTCCAAATATCCACTTGCAGATTCTACAAAAACAGTGTTTCAAAACGGCTCCATAAAAAGGAAGGTTCAACTCTGTGAGTTGAATGGACACATCACAAAGAAGTTTCTGAGAATGCTTCTGTCTAGTTTTTATTAGAAGATATTCCCGTTTCCACCAAAGGACACAAAGCGAAGCCCATTATCCCCTTGCAGATCTTACAAAAACACGTTTCAAAACTGCTCTATCAAAGGAAAGGTTCATCTCTCTGGGTTCAACGCACACATCACAAAGAAGTTTCTGAGAATGCTTCTGGCTACTTTGTGTGTGAAGATATTCCCATTTCCAACAAAGGCTTCAAAGCCCTCCAAATATTCACCTGCAATTGTACAAAAGAGTGTTTCAAAACTGTTCTATCAAAAGGAAGGTTCAACTCTGTGAGTTGAATGCACGCTTCACATAAATGGTTCTGAGAATGCTTCTTTCTAGTTTTTATGGGAAGATATTTCCTTCTCCACCACAGCCCTCAAAGCGCTCCAAGTGTCCGCTGGCAGATTCCACAGAAACAGTGTTTCAAAACTGCTCTAACAAAAGAAAGATTCAACTCCGTGATTTGAATGCACACTTCACAAAGCATTTTCTGTGAATCCTTCTGTCTAGTTTTTATATGAGGATATTTCCTTTTCTACCATGGGCATCAAAGCGTTCCAATTATCCAATTGTGGATTGCACAAACAGAGTGTTTCAAAACTGCTTCATGAAAAAGAAGATTCAAATTCGGGAGGAGAATGCACACATCACGAAGAAGTTTCTGAGAATGCTTCTGTCTATTTTATACGTGAAGATATTCCCATTTCCAGCAAAGGTCTCAAAGCGGTCCAAATATCCACTTGCGGATCCCACAAACAGAGTGTTTCAAAACTGCTCTACGGAAAGGTATGTTCAACTCTGTGAGTTTACTGCAAACATCCTAAAGAAGTTTCTGAGAATGCTGCTGTCTAGTTTAATGTGAATATCTTTTCTTTTCCGCCATAGCCCTCAAAGAGCTCCAAATATCCACTTTCAGATTCTACAGAGTGTTTCAAAACTGCTCTATCCAAAAAAAGTTTCAACTCGGAGAGTCGAATGCACATATCACAAAGCAGTTTCTGAGAATGCTTTCGTCTATTTTTCCCAGGAAGATATTTCCTTTTGGACCGTAGGCCTCAAATCGCTCCAGATATCCACATGCAGATTCTACAAAAAGAGTGTTTCAAAACTGACCTATCAAAAGCAAGGTTCAACCCTGGTAGTTGAATGCAAACATCACAAAGAAGTTTCTCAGAATGCTTCTGTCTAGTTTTTAGAGGCAGATATTTATTTTTCTACCATAGGCCTCAAAGCGCTCCAAATATCCACTTGCAGATTCTCCAAAAACAGTGTTTCAAAACTGCTCCATAAAAAGGAAGGTTCAACTCTGTGAGTTGAATGGACAGATCACAAAGAAGTTTCTGAGAATGCTTCTCTCTAGTGTTTATGTGAAGAATATTCCCGTTTCCGATGAAGGCCTGAAAGCAGTCCAAATATCCACTTGCCGATTCTACAAAAACAGTGTTTCAAAACCACTCTATGGAAACGTATGTTCAACACTGTGAGATGAATGCAAACGTCACCAAGAAGTTGCTGAGAATGCTTCAGTCTAGTTTCTATGGGAAGACATTTCCTTTTGCACCACAGCCCTCAAAGCACTCCAAATGTCTACTTGCAGATTCGATAAAAGAGTTTTACAAAACTGCTCTATCAAAAGAAAGGTTCAACGCTGTGAGTTGAATCCACATAACACGAAAAAGTTTCTGAGAATGCCTCTATCTACTTTTTATGTGAAGATATTCCGGTTTCCAACGAAGGCCTCAAAGCGCTCCAAATATCTACTGGCAGATTCTAGAAAAAGAGTGTTTCAAAACTACTCTATTAAAGGAAGGTTCAACTCTGTGAGTTGAATTCACACATCACAAAGAACTTTCTGACAATTCTTCTATCTAGTTTTTATGTGAAGATATTACTGTTTCCTATGAAGGTCTCAAAGTGGTCCGAATATCCACTTGCAGATTCTACAAGAAGAGGTTTTCCAAACTGCTCTATGAAGAGGTAGGTTCAACTCTGTGAGTTGAATGCAAACATCACAAAGCAGTTTCTGAGAATGATTCTGTCTAGTTTTTAGGGGAAGATATCTCCATTGGCACAATAGCCCTCAAAGCGCTCCAAGTATCCACTGGCAGATTCTAGCAAAAGAGTGTTTCAAAACTGCTCTGTGAAAAGAAATGTTCAACTGTGTTAGTTGAATGCCCACATCACAAAGACGATTGTGAGAATATTTCTGTCTAGTTTTTATTAGAAGATATTCCCGTTTCCACCAAAGGACACAAAGCGAAGCCAATTATCCACTTGCAGATCTTACAAAAACACGTTTCAAAACTGCTCTATCCAAGGAAAGGTTCATCTCTCTGGGTTCAACGCACACATCACAAAGAAGTTTCTGAGAATGCTTCTGGCTAGTTTGTGTGTGAATATATTCCTATTTCCAACAAAGGCTTCAAAGCGCTCCAAAGATTCACCTGCAATTGTTCAAAAGAGTGTTTCAAAACTGTTCTGTGAAAAGAAATGTTCAACTGTGTTAGTTGAATGCCCACATCACAAAGAAGATTCTGAGAATATTTCTTTCTAGTTTTTATGGGAAGATATTTCCTTCTCCACCATAGCCCTCAAAGCGCTCCAAGTGTCCGCTGGCAGATTCCACAGAAACAGTGTTTCAAAACTGCTCTGACAAAAGAAAGATTCAACTCCGTGATTTGAATGCACACATCACATAGCATTTTCTGTGAATCCTTCTGTCTAGTTTTTATATGAGGATATTTCCTTTTCTACCATGGGCATCAAAGCGTTCCAATTATCCAATTGTGGATTGCACAAACAGAGTGTTTCAAAACTGCTTCATGAAAAGGAAGATTCAAATTCGGGAGTAGAATGCACACATCACGAGGAAGTTTCTGAGAATGCTTCTGTCTAGTTTATATGTGAAGATATTCCCATTTCCAGCAAAGGTCTCAAAGCGGCCCAAATATCCACTTGCGGATCCCACAGACAGAGTGTTTCAAAACTGCTCTACGGAAAGGTATGTTCAACTCTGTGAGTTTACTGCAAACATCCTAAAGAAGTTTCTGAGAATGCTGCTGTCTACTTTAATGTGAATATATTTTCTTTTCCGCCATAGCCCTCAAAGAGCTCCAAATATCCACTTTCAGATTCTACAGAGTGTTTCAAAACTGCTCTATCAAAAAAAGGTTTCAACTCGGTGAGTCGAATGCACATATCACAAAGCACTTTCTGAGAATGCTTTCGTCTATCTTTCCCAGGAAGATATTTCCTTTTGGACCGTAGGCCTCAAATCGTTCCAGATATCCACATGCAGATTCTACAAAAAGAGTGTTTCCAAACTGCCCTATCAAAAGGAAGGTTCAACTCTGGTAGTTGAAGGCAAACATCACAAAGAAGTTTCTCAGAATGCTTCTGTCTGGTTTTTAGAGGCAGATATTTCTTTTTCTACCATAGGCCTCAACGCGCTCCAAATATCCACTTGCAGATTCTCCAAAAGGAGTGTTTCAAAACTGCTCCATAAAAAGGAAGGTTCAACTCTGTGAGTTGAATGGAGAGATCACAAAGAAGTTTCTGAGAATGCTTCTGTCTAGTGTTTATGTGAAGATATTCCCGTTTCCGATGAAGGCCTCAAAGCAGTCCAAATATCCACTTGCAGATTCTACAAAAATAGTGTTTCAAAACTACTCTATGGAAAGGTATGTTCAACACTGTGAGATGAATGCAAACGTCACAAGGAATTTGCTGAGAATGCTTCAGGCTAGTTTCTATGGGAAGACATTTCCTTTTGCACCACAGCCCTCAAAGCACCCCAAATGTCTACCTGCAGATTCGATAAAAGAGTTTTTCAAAACTGCTCCATCCAAAGAAAGGTTCAACGCTGTGAGTTGAATCTACATATCACAAAGAGTTTCTGAGAATGCGTCTATCTACATTTCCTGTGAAGATATTCCGGTTTACAACGAAGGCCTCCAAGCGCCCCAAATATCTCCTTGCAGATTCTAGAAAAAGAGTGTTTCAACACTGCTCTATTAAAGGAAGTTTCAACTCTGTGAGTTTAATTCACACATCACAAAGAACTTCCTGACAATGCTTCTATCTAGTTTTTATGTGAAGGTATTACTGTTTCCTATGAAGGCCTCAAAGTGGTCCGAATATCTACTTGCAGATTCTACCAAAAGAGGTTTTCAAAACTGCTCTATGAAGAGGTATGTTCAACTCTGTGAGTTGAATGCAAACATCACAAAGTAGTTTCTGAGAATGCTTCTGTCTAGTTTTTAGGGGCAGATATTTCCATTGGCACAATAGCCCTCAAAGCGCTCCAAATATCCACTGGCAGATTCGACCAAAAGAGTGTTTCAAAACTGCTCTGTGAAAAGAAATCTTCGACTGTGTTAGATGAATGCCCACATCACAAAGAAATTTCTGAGAATATCTCTGTCTAGTTTTTATTAGAAGATATTCCCGTTTCCACCAAAGGACACAAAGCGAAGACAATTATCCACTTGCAGATCTTACAAAAACACGTTTCAAAACTGCTCTATCAAAGGAAAGGTTCATCTCTCTGGGTTCAACGCACACATCACAAAGAAGTTTCTGAGAATGCTTCTGGCTAGTTTGTGTGTGAAGATATTCCCATTTCCAACAAAGGCTTCAAAGCGCTCCAAAGATTCACCTGCAATTGTTCAAAAGCGTGTTTCAAAACTGTTGTATCAAAAGGAAGGTTCAACTCTGTGAGTTGAATGCACGCTTCACATAAATGTTTCTGAGAATGCTTCTTTCTAGTTTTTATGGGAAGATATTTCCTTCTCCACCACAGCCCTCAAAGCACTCCAAGTGTCCGCTGGCAGATTCCACAGAAAGAGTGTTTCAAAACTGCTCTAACAAAAGAAAGATTCAACTCCGTGATTTGAATGCACACATCACAAAGCATTTTCTGTGAATCCTTCTGTCTAGTTTTTATATGAGGATATTTCCTTTTCTACCATGGGCATCAAAGGGTTCCAATTATCCAATTGTAGATTGCACAAACAGAGTGTTTCAAAACTGCTACATGAGAAGGAAGATTCAAATTTGGGAGTACAATGCACACATCAAAAAGAAGTTTCTGAGAATGCTTCTGTCTAGTTTATACGTGAAGATATTCCCATTTCCAGCAAAGGTCTCAAAGCGGTCCAAATATCCACTTGCGGATCCCACAAACAGAGTGTTTCAAAACTGCTCTACGGAAAGGTATGTTAAACTCTGCGAGTTTACTGCAAACATCCTAAAGAAGTTTCTGAGAATGCTGCTGTCTACTTTTTTAATGTGAATATATTTTCTTTTCCGCCATAGCCCTCAAAGAGCTCCAAATATCCACTTTCAGATTCTACAGAGTGTTTCAAAACTGCTCTATCAAAAAAAAGTTTCAGCTCGCTGAGTCGAATGCACATATCACAAAGCACTTTCTGAGAATGCTTTCGTCTATTTTTCCCAGGAAGATATTTCCTTTTTGACCGTAGGCCTCAAACCGCTCCAGATATCCACATGCAGATTCTACAAAAAGAGTGTTTCCAAACTGCCCTATCAAAAGGAAGGTTCAACTCTGCTAGTTGAATGCAAACATCACACAGAAGTTTCTCGGAATGCTTCCGTCTGGTTTTTAGAGGCAGATATTTCTTTTTCTACCATAGGCCTCAAAGCGCTCCAAATATCCACTTGCAGATTCTCCAAAAGGAGTGTTTCAAAACTGCTCCATAAAAAGGAAGGTTCAACTCTGTGAGTTGAATGGACAGATGACAAAGAAGTTTCTGAGAATGCTTCTCTCTAGTGTTTATGTGAAGATATTCCCGTTTCCGATGAAGGCCTCAAAGCAGTCCAAATATCCACTTGCCGATTCTACAGAAACAGTGCTTCAAAACCACTCTATGGAAAGGTATGTTCAACACTGTGAGATGAATGCAAACGTCACCAAGAAGTTGCTGAGAATGCTTCAGTCTAGTTTCTATGGGAAGAACATTTCCTTTTGCACCACAGCCCTCAAAGCACCCCAAATGTCTACCTGCAGATTCGATAAAAGAGTTTTTCAAAACTGCTCCATCCAAAGAAAGGTTCAACGCTGTGAGTTGAATCTACATATCACAAAAAAGTTTCTGAGAATGCCTCTATCTACTTTTCCTGTGAAGATATTCCGGTTTCCAACGAAGGCCTCAAAGCGCTCCAAGTATCTACTTGCAGATTCTAGAAAAAGAATGTTTCACAACTGCTCTATTGAAGGAAGGTTCAACTCTGTGAGTTGAATTCACACATCACAAAGAACTTTCTGACAATGCTTCTATCTAGTTTTTATGTGAAGATATTACTGTTTCCTATGAAGGCCTCAAAGTGGTCCGAATATCCACTTGCAGATTCTACAAAAAGAGGTTTTCAAAACTGCTCCATGCAGAGGTATGTTCAACCCTGTGAGTTGAATGCAAACATCACGAAGCAGTTTCTGAGAATGCTTCTGTCTAGTTTTTAGGGGCAGATATTTCCGTTGGCACAATAGCCCTCAAAGCGCTCCAAATATCCACTGGCAGATTCTACCAAAAGGGTGTTTCAAAACTGCTCTGTGAAAAGAAAGGTTCAACTGTGTTAGTTGAATGCCCACATCACGAAGAAGATTCTGAGAATATTTCTGTCTAGTTTTTATTAGAAGATATTCCCGTTTCCACCAAAGGACACAAAGCGAAGCCAACTATCCGCTTGCAGATCTTACAAAAACACGTTTCAAAACTGCTCTATCAAAGGAAAGGTTCATCTCTCTGGGTTCAACGCACACATCACAAAGAAGTTTCCGAGAATGCTTCTGGATAGTTTGTGTGTGAAGATATTCCCATTTCCAACAAAGGCTTCAAAGCGCTCCAAAGATTCACCTGCAATTGTTCAAAAGAGTGTTTCAAAACTGTTGTATCAAAAGGAAGGTTCAACTCTGTGAGTTGAATGCACGCTTCACATAAATGTTTCTGAGAATGCTTCTTTCTAGTTTTTATGTGAAGATATTTCCTTCTCCACCGTAGCCCTCAAAGCGCTCCAAGTGTCCGCTGGCAGATTCCACAGAAACAGTCTTTCAAAACTGCTCTAACAAAAGAAAGATTCAACTCCGTGATTTGAATGCACACATCACAAAGCATTTTCTGTGAATCCTTCTGTCTAGTTTTTATATGAGGATATTTCCTTTTCTACCATGGGAATCCAAGCGTTCCAATTCTCCAATTGTAGATTGCACAAACAGAGTGTTTCAAAACTGCTCCATGAGAAGGAAGATTCAAATTTGGGAGTACAATGCACACATCACCGAAGAAGTTTCTGAGAATGCTTCTGTCTAGTTTATATGTGAAGATATTCCCGTTTCCAGCAAAGGTCTCAAAGGGGTCCAAATATCCACTTGCGGATCCCACAAACAGAGTGTTTCAAAACTGCTCTACGGAAAGGTGTGTTCAACTCTGTGAGTTTACTGCAAACAACCTAAAGAAGTTTCTGGGAATGCTTGCTGTCTAGTTTAATGTGAATATATTTTCTTTTCCGCCATAGCCCTCGAAGAGCTCCAAATATCCACTTTCAGATTCTACAGAGTGTTTCAAAACTGCTCTATCAAAAAAAAGTTTCAACTCGGAGAGTCGAATGCACATATCACAAAGCAGTTTCTGAGAATGCTTTCGTCTATTTTTCCCAGGAAGATATTTCCTTTTTGACCGTAGGCCTCAAACCGCTCCAGATATCCACATGCAGGTTCTACAAAAAGAGTGTTTCCAAACTGCCCTATCAAAAGGAAGGTTCAACTCTGCTAGTTGAATGCAAACATCACAAAGAAGTTTCTCGGAATGCTTCTGTCTGGTGTTTAGGGGCAGATATTTCTTTTTCTACCATAGGCCTCAAAGCGCTCCAAATATCCACTTGCAGATTCTCCAAAAAGAGTGTTTCAAAACTGCTCCAGAAAAAGGAAGGTTCAACTCTGTGAGTTGAATGGACAGATGACAAAGAAGTTTCTGAGGATGCTTCTGTCCAGTGTTTATGTGAAGATATTCCCGTTTCCGATGAAGGCCTCAAAGCAGTCCAAATATCCACTTGCAGATTCTACAAAAATAGTGTTTCAAAACTACTCTATGCAAAGGTATGTTCAACACTGTGAGATCAATGCAAACGTCACAAAGAAGTTGCTGAGAATGCTTCAGTCTAGTTTCTATGGGAAGACATTTCCTTTTGCACCACAGCCCTCAAAGCACTCCAAATGTCTACTTGCAGATTCGATAAAAGAGTTTTTCCAAACTACTCTATCAAAAGAAAGGTTCAACGCTGTGAGATGAATCTACATATCACAAAAAAGTTTCTGAGAATGCCTCTATCTACTTTTCCTGTGAAGATATTCCGGTTTCCAACGAAGGCCTCAAAGCACTCCAAATATCTACTTGCAGATTCTAGAAAAAGAGTGTTTCAAAACTACTCTATTAAAGGAAGGTTCAACTCTGTGAGTTGAATTCACACATCACAAAGAGCTTTCTGACAATGCTTCTATCTAGTTTTTATGTGAAGATATTACTGTTTCTTATGAAGGCCTCAAAGTGGTCCGAATACCCACTTGCAGATTCTACAAGAAGAGGTTTTCCAAACTGCTCTATGAAGAGGTAGGTTCAACTCTGTGAGTTGAATGCAAACATCACAAAGCAGTTTCTGAGAATGCTTCTGTCTAGTTTTCAGGGGCAGATATTTCCATTGGCACAATAGCCCTCCAAGCGCTCCAAATATCCACTGGCAGATTCTACCAAAAGAGTGTTTCAAAACTGCTCTGTGAAAAGAAATGTTCAACTGTGTAAGTTGAATGCCCACATCACAAAGGAGATTCTGAGAATATTTCTGTCTAGTTTTTATTAGAAGATATTCCCGTTTCCACCAAAGGACACAAAGCGAAGCCCATTATCCGCTTGCAGACCTTACAAAAACACGTTTCAAAACTGCTCTATCAAAGGAAAGGTTCATCTCTGCTGGGTTCAACGCACACATCACAAAGAAGTTTCTGAGAATGCTTCTGGCTAGTTTGTGTGGGAAGATATTCCCATTTCCAACAAAGCCTTCAAAGCGCTCCAAAGATTCACCTGCAATTGTTCAAAAGAGTGTTTCAAAACTGTTCTATCAAAAGGAAGGTTCAACTCTGTGAGTTGAAGGCACGCTTCACATAAATGTTTCCGAGAATGCTTCTTTCTAGTTTTTATGTGAAGATATTTCCTTCTCCACCATAGCCCTCAAAGCGCTCCAAGTGTCCGCTGGCAGATTCCACAGAAACAGTGTTTCAAAACTGCTCTAACAAAAGAAAGATTCAACTCCGGTGATTTGAATGCACACATCACAAAGCATTTTCTGTGAATCCTTCTGTCTAGTTTTTATATGAGGATATTTCCTTTTCTACCATGGGCATCAAAGCGTTCCAATTATCCAATTGTGGATTGCACAAACAGAGTGTTTCAAAACTGCTTCATGAAAAGGAAGATTCAAATTCGGGAGTAGAATGCACACATCAAGAGGAAGTTTCTGAGAATGCTTCTGTCTAGTTTATATGTGAAGATATTCCCATTTCCAGCAAAGGTCTCAAAGCGGTCCAAATATCCACTTGCGGATCCCACAAACAAAGTGTTTCAAAACTGCTCTACGGAAAGGTAGGTTCAACTCTGTGAGTTTACTGCAAACATCCTAAAGAAGTTTCTGAGAATGCTGCTGTCTACTTTAATGTGAATATATTTTCTTTTCCGTCATAGCCCTGAAAGAGCTCCAAATATCCACTTTCAGGTTCTACAGAGTGTTTCAAAACTGCTCTATCAAAAAAAAGTTTCAACTCGGTGAGTCGAATGCGCATATCACAAAGCCCTTTCTGAGAATGCTTTCGTCTATTTTTCCCAGGAAGATATTTCCTTTTTGACCGTAGGCCTCAAACCGCTACAGATATCCACATGCAGATTCTACAAAAAGAGTGTTTCCAAACTACCCTATCAAAAGGAAGGTTCAACTCTGCTACTTGAATGCAAACATCACAGAGAAGTTTCTCGGAATGCTTCTGTCTGGTTTTTAGAGGCAGATATTTCTTTTTCTACCATAGGCCTCAAAGCGCTCCAAATATCCACTTGCAGATTCTCCAAAAAGAGTGTTTCAAAACTGCTCCAGAAAAAGGAAGGTTCAACTCTGTGAGTTGAATGGACAGATCACAAAGAAGTTTCTGAGAGTGCTTCTCTCTAGTGTTTATGTGAAGATATTCCCGTTTCCGATGAAGGCCTCAAAGCAGTCCAAACACCCACTTGCCGATTCTACAAAAACAGTGTTTCAAAACCACTCTATGGAAAGGTATGTTCAACACTGTGAGATGAATGCAAACGTCACCAAGAAGTTGCTGAGAATGCTTCAGTCTAGTTTCTATGGGAAGACATTTCCTTTTGCACCAGAGCCGTCAAAGCACTCCAAATGTCTACTTGCAGATTCGATAAAAGAGTTTTTCAAAACTGCTCTATCAAAAGAAAGGTTCAACGCTGTGAGTTGAATCTACATATGACAAAAAAGTTTCTGAGCATGCCTCTATCTACTTTTTATGTGAAGATATTCCGGTTTCCAACGAAGGCCTCAAAGCGCTCCAAATATCTACTTGCAGACTCTAGAAAAAGAGTGTTTCAAAACTGCTCTATTAAAGGAAGCTACAACTCTGTGAGTTGAATTCACACATCACAACGAACTTTCTGACAATGCTTCTATCTAGTTTTTGTGTGATGATATTACTGTTTCCTATGAAGGCCTCAAAGTGGTCCGAATATCCACTTGCAGATTCTACAAAAAGAGGTTTTCAAAACTGCTCTATGAAGAGGTATGTTCAACTCTGTCAGTTGAATGCAAACATCACAAAGCAGTTTCTGAGAATGCTTCTGTCTAGTATTTAGGTGAAGATATTTCCATTTGCACAATAGCCCTCAAAGCGCCCCAAATATCCACGGGCAGATTCTACTAAAAGTGTGTTTCAAAACTGCTCTGTCAAAAGAAAGGTTCAACTGTGTTAGTTGAATACCCACATCACAAAGAAGATTCTGAGAATATTTCTGTCTAGTTTTTATTAGAAGATATTCCCGTTTCCACCAAAGGACACAAAGCGAAGCCAATTATCCGCTTGCCGATCTTACAAAAACACGTTTCCAAACTGCTCTATCAAAGGAAAGGTTCATCTCTCTGGGTTCAACGCACACATCACAAAGAAGTTTCTGAGAATGCTTCTGGCTAGTTTGTGTGTGAAGATATTCCCATTTCCAACAAAGGCTTCAAAGCGCTCCAAAGATTCACCTGCAATTGTTCAAAAGAGTGTTTCAAAACTGTTCTATCAAAAGGAAGGTTCAACTCTGTGAGTTGAATGCACGCTTCACATACATGTTTCTGAGAAGGCTTCTTTCTAGTTTTTATGTGAAGATATTTCCTTCTCCACCGTAGCCCTCAAAGCGCTCCAAGGGTCCGCTGGCAGATTCCACAGAAACAGTGTTTCAAAACTGCTCTAACAAAAGAAAGATTCAACTCCGTGATTTGAATGCACACATCACAAAGCATTTTCTGTGAATCCTTCTGTCTAGTTTTTATATGAGGATATTTCCTTTTCTACCATGGGCATCAAAGCGTTCCAATCATCCAATTGTAGAATGCACAAATAGAGTGTTTCAAAACTGCTTCATGAAAAGGAAGATTCAAATTTGGGAGTAGAATACACACATCACGAAGAAGTTTCTGAGAATGCTTCTGTCTAGTTTATATGTGAAGATATTCCCATTTCCAGCAAAGGTCTCAAAGGGGTCCAAATATCCACTTGCGGATCCCACAAACAGAGTGTTTCAAAACTGCTCTACGGAAAGGTGTGTTCAACTCTGTGAGTTTACTGCAAACAACCTAAAGAAGTTTCTGGGAATGCTGCTGTCTACTTTAATGTGAATATATTTTCTTTTCCGCCATAGCCCTCAAAGATCTCCAAATATCCACTTTCAGATTCTACAGAGTGTTTCAAAACTGCTCTATCAAAAAAAAGTTTCAACTCGGTGAGTCGAATGCACATATCACAAAGCAGTTGCTGAGAATGCTTTCGTCTATTTTTCCCAGGAAGATATTTCCTTTTTGACCATAGGCCTCAAATCGCTCCAGATATCCACATGCAGATTCTACAAAAAGAGTGTTTCCAAACTGCCCTATCAAAAGGAAGGTTCAACTCTGGTAGTTGAATGCAAACATCACAAAGAAGTTTCTCAGAATGCTTCAGTCTAGTATTTAGAGGCAGATATTTCTTTTTCTACCATTGGCCTCAAGGCGCTCCAAATATCCACTTGCAGATTCTTCACAAACAGTGTTTCAAAACTGCTCCATAAAAAGGAAGGTTCAACTCTGTGAGGTGAATGGACAGATCACAAAGAAGTTTCTGAGAATGCTTCTGTCTAGTGTTTATGTGAAGATATTCCCGTTTCCGATGAAGGCCTCAAAGCAGTCCAAATATCCACTTGCAGATTCTACAAAAATAGTGCTTCAAAACTACTCTATGGAAAGGTATGTTCAACACTGTGAGATGAATGCAAACGTCACAAAGAAGTTGCTGAGAATGCGTCAGTCTAGTTTCTATGGGAAGACATTTCCTTTTGCCCCACAGCCCTCAAAGCACTCCAAATGTCTACTTGCAGATTCGATAAAAGAGTTTTTCAAAACTGCTCTATCAAAAGAAAGGTTCAACGCTGTGAGTTGAATCTACATATGACAAAAAAGTTTCTGAGCATGCCTCTATCTACTTTTTATGTGAAGATATTCCGGTTTCCAACGAAGGCCTCAAAGCGCTCCAAATATCTACTGGCAGATTCTAGAAAAAGAGTGTTTCAAAACTGCTCTATTAAAGGAAGGTTCAACTCTGTGAGTTGAATTCACACATCACAAAGAACTTTCTGACAATGCTTTCTATCTAATTTTTACGTGAAGATATTACTGTTTCCTATGAAGGCCTCAAAGTGGTCCGAATATCCTCTTGCAGATTCTACAAAAAGAGGTTTTCAAAACTGCTCTATGAAAAGGTATGTTCAACTCTGTGAGTTGAATGCAAACATCACAAAGCAGTTTCTGAGAATGCTTCTGTCTAGTTTTCAAGGGCAGATATTTCCATTGGCCCAATAGCCCTCCAAGCGCTCCAAATATCCACTGGCAGATTCTACCAAAAGAGTGTTTCAAAACTGCTCTGTGAAAAGAAATGTTCAACTGTGTTAGTTGAATGCCCACATCACAAAGGAGATTCTGAGAATATTTCTGTCTAGTTTTTATTAGAAGATATTCCCGTTTCCACCAAAGGACACAAAGCGAAGCCAATTATCCGCTTGCCGATCTTACAAAAACACGTTTCAAAACTGCTCTTTCCAAGGAAAGGTTCATCTCTCTGGGTTCAACGCACACATCACAAAGAAGTTTCTGAGAATGCTTCTGACTAGTTTGTGTGAGAAGATATTCCCATTTCCAACAAAGGCTTCAAAGCGCTCCAAAGATTCACCTGCAATTGTTCAAAAGAGTGTTTCAAAACTGTTGTATCAAAAGGAAGGTTCAACTCTGTGAGTTGAATGCACGCTTCACATACATGTTTCTGAGAATGCTTCTTTCTAGTTTTTATGGGAAGATATTTCCTTCTCCACCATAGCCCTCAAAGCGCTCCAAGTGTCCGCTGGCAGATTCCACAGAAACCGTGTTTCAAAACTGCTCTAACAAAAGAAAGATTCAACTCCGTGATTCGAATGCACACATCACAAAGCATTTTCTGTGAATCCTTCTGTCTAGTTTTTATATGAGGATATTTCCTTTTCTAACATGGGCATCAAAGCGTTCCAATTATCCAATTGTGGATTGCACAAACAGAGTGTTTCAAAACTGCTTCATGAAAAGGAAGATTCAAATTCGGGAGTAGACTGCACACATCACGAAGAAGTTTCTGAGAATGCTTCTGTCTAGTTTATACGTCAAGATATTCCCATTTCCAGCAAAGGTCTCAAAGCGGTCCAAATATCCACTTGCGGATCCCACAAACAGAGTGTTTCAAAACTGCTCTACGGAAAGGTATGTTCAACTCTGTGAGTTTACTGCAAACATCCTAAAGAAGTTTCTGAGAATGCTGCTGTCTACTTTAATGTGAATATATTTTCTTTTCCGCCATAGCCGTCAAAGAGCTCCAACTATCCACTTTCAGATTCTACAGAGTGTTTCAAAACTGCTCTATCAAAAAAAAGTTTCAACTCGGTGAGTCGAATGCACATATCACAAAGCACTTTCTGAGAATGCTTTCGTCTTTTTTTCCCAGGAAGATATTTCCTTTTGGACCGTAGGCCTCAAATCGCTCCAGATATCCACATGCAGATTCTACAAAAAGAGTGTTTCCAAACTGCCCTATCAAAAGGAAGGTTCAACTCTGGTAGTTGAATGCAAACATCACAAAGAAGTTTCTCAGAATGCTTCTGTCTAGTTGTAATAGGCAGATATTTCTTTTTCTACCATAGGCCTCAAAGCGCTCCAAATATCCACTTGCAGATTCTCCAAAAACAGTGTTTCAAAACTGCTCCATAAAAAGGAAGGTTCAACTCTGTGAGTTGAATAGACAGATCACAAAGTAGTTTCTGAGAATGCTTCTGTCTAGTGTTTATGTGAAGACATTCCCGTTTCCAATGAAGGCCTCAATGCAGTCCAAATATCCACTTGCAGATTCTACAAAAATAGTGTTTCAAAACTACTCTATGAAAAGGTATGTTCAACACTGTGAGATGAATGCAAACGTCACAAAGAAGTTGCTGAGAATGCTTCAGTCTAGTTTCTATGGGAAGACATTTCCTTTTGCACCACAGCCCTCAAAGCACTCCAAATGTCTACTTGCAGATTCGATAAAAGAGTTTTTCAAAACTGCTCTATCAAAAGAAAGGTTCAACGCTGTGAGTTGAATCTACATATGACAAAAAAGTTTCTGAGCATGCCTCTATCTACTTTTCCTGTGAAGATATTCCGGTTTCCAACGAAGGCCTCAAAGCGCTCCAAATATCTACTTGCAGATTCTAGAAAAAGAGTGTTTCAAAACTGCTCTATTAAAGGAAGGTTCAACTCTGTGAGTTGAATTCACACATCACAAAGAACTTTCTGACAATGTTTTCTATCTAGTTTTTATGTGAAGATGTTACTGTTTCCTATGAAGGCCTCAAAGTGGTCCGAATATCCACTTGCAGATTCTACAAAAAGAGGTTTTCAAGACTGCTCTATGAAGAGGTATGTTCAACTCTGTGAGTTGAATGCAAACATCACAAAGTAGTTTCTGAGAATGCTTCTGTCTAGTTTTCAGGGGCAGATATTTCCATTGGCACAATAGCCCTCCAAGCGCTCCAAATATCCACTGGCAGATTCTACCAAAAGAGTGTTTCAAAACTGCTCTGTTAAAAGAAATGTTCAACTGTGTTAGTTGAATGCCCACATCACAAAGGAGATTCTGAGAATATTTCTGTCTAGTTTTTATTAGAAGATATACCCGTTTCCACCAAAGGACACAAAGCGAAGCCAATTATCCGCTTGCAGATCTTACAAAAACACGTTTCAAAACTGCTCTATCAAAGGAAAAGTTCATCTCTCTGGGTTCAACGCACACATCACAAAGAAGTTTCTGAGAATGCTTCTGTCTAGTTTATATGTGAAGATATTCCCATTTCCAGCAAAGGTCTCAAAGCGGTCCAAATATCCACTTGCGGATCCCACAAACAGAGTGTTTCAAAACTCCTCTACGGAAAGGTAGGTTCAACTCTGTGAGTTTACTGCAAACATCCTAAAGAAGTTTCTAAGAATGCTGCTGTCTACTTTAATGTGAATATATTTTGTTTTCCGCCATAGCCCTCAAAGATCTCCAAATATCCACTTTCAGATTCTACAGAGTGTTTCAAAACTGCTCTATCAAACAAAAGTTTCAACTCGATGAGTCGAATGCCCATATCACAAAGCAGTTTCTGAGAATGCTTTCGTCTATTTTTCCCAGGAAGATATTTCCTTTTTGACCGTAGGCCTCAAACCGCTCCAGATATCCACATGCAGATTCTACACAAAGAGTGTTTCCAAACTGCCCTATCAAAAGGAAGGTTCAACTCTGCTAGTTGAATGCAAACATCACAAAGAAGTTTCTCGGAATGCTTCAGTCTAGTATTTAGAGGCAGATATTTCTTTTTCTACCATTGGCCTCAAGGCGCTCCAAATATCCACTTGCAGATTCTCCACAAACAGTCTTTCAAAACTGCTCCATAAAAAGGAAGGTTCAACTCTGTGAGTTGAATGGACAGATCACAAAGAAGTTTCTGAGAATGCTTCTGTCTAGTGTTTATGAGAAGGTATTCCCGTTTCCGATGAAGGCCTCAAAGCAGTCCAAATATCCACTTGCAGATTCTACAAAAATAGTGCTTCAAAACTACTCTATGGAAAGGTATGTTCAACACTGTGAGATGAATGCAAACGTCACAAAGAAGTTGCTGAGAATGCTTCAGTCTAGTTTCTATGGGAAGACATTTCCTTTTGCACCACAGCCCTCAAAGCACTCCAAATGTCTACTTGCAGATTCGATAAAAGAGTTTTACAAAACTGCTCTATCAAAAGAAAGGTTCAAAGCTGTGAGTTGAATCCACATATCACGAAAAAGTATCTGAGAATGCCTCTATCTACATTTCCTGTGAAGATATTCCGGTTTCCAACGAAGGCCTCCAAGCGCTCCAAATATCTACTTGCAGATTCTAGAAAAAGAGTGTTTCACAACTGCTCTATTAAAGGAAGGTTCAACTCTGTGAGTTGAATTCACACATCACAAAGAACTTTCTGACAATGCTTCTATCTAGTTTTTATGTGAAGATATTACTGTTTCCTATGAAGGCCTCAAAGTGGTCCGAATATCCACTTGCAGATTCTACAGAAAGAGGTTTTCAAAACTGCTCTATGAAGAGGTATGTTCAACTCGGTGAGTTGAATGCAAACATCACGAAGTAGTTTCTGAGAATGCTTCTGTCTAGTTTTCAGGGGCAGATATTTCCATTGGCACAATAGCCCTCCAAGCGCTCCAAATATCCACTGGCAGATTCTACCAAAAGAGTGTTTCAAAACTGCTCTGTGAAAAGAAATGTTCAACTGTGTTAGTTGAATGCCCACATCACAAAGCAGATTCTGAGAATATTTCTGTCTAGTTTTTATTAGAAGATATTCCCGTTTCCACCAAAGGAAACAAAGCGAAGCCAATTATCCGCTTGCCGAACTTACAAAAACACGTTTCAAAACTGCTCTATCAAAAGAAAGGTTCATCTCTCTGGGTTCAAAGCACACATCACAAAGAAGTTTCTGAGAATGCTTCTGGCTAGTTTGTGTGTGAAGATATTCCCATTTCCAACAAAGGCTTCAAAGCGCTCCAAAGATTCACCTGCAATTGTTCAAAAGAGTGTTTCAAAACTGTTCTATCAAAAGGAAGGTTCAACTCTGTGAGTTGAATGCACGCTTCACATAAATGGTTCTGAGAATGCTTCTTTCTAGTTTTTATGGGAAGATATTTCCTTCTCCACCATAGCCCTCAAAGTGCTCCAAGTGTCCGCTGGCAGATTCCACAGAAACAGTGTTTCAAAACTGCTCTGACAAAAGAAAGATTCAACTCCGTGATTTGAATGCACACATCACAAAGCATTTTCTGTGAATCCTTCTGTCTAGTTTTTATATGAGGAGATTTCCTTTTCTTCCACGGGCATCAAAGCGTTCCAATTATCCAATTGTAGATTGTACAAAAGGAGTGTTTCAAAACTGCTTTATGAAAAGGAAGGTTCAACTTTGGGAGTAGAATGCACACATCACGAAGAAGTTTCTGAGAATGCTTCTGGCTAGTTTATATGTGAAGATATTCCCATTTCCAGCAAAGGTCTCAAAGCGGTCCAAATATCCACTTGCAGATCCCACAAACAGAAGGTTTCAAAACTGCTTTACGGAAAGGTATGTTCAACTCTGTGAGTTTACTGCAAACATCCTAAAGAAGTCTCTGAGAATGCTGCTGTCTACTTTAATGTGAATATATTTTCTTTTCCGCCATAGCCCTCAAAGAGCTCCAAATATCCACTTTCAGATTCTACAGAGTGTTTCAAAACTGCTCTATCAAAAAAAAGTTTCAACTCGGTGAGTCGAATGCCCATATCACAAAGCAGTTTCTGAGAATGCTTTCGTCTATTTTTCCCAGGAAGATATTACCTTTTTGACCGTAGGCCTCAAACCGCTCCAGATATCCACATG
Source organism: Homo sapiens (assembly GCF_000001405.40). Classification (NCBI taxonomy): domain Eukaryota; kingdom Metazoa; phylum Chordata; class Mammalia; order Primates; family Hominidae; genus Homo; species Homo sapiens. The sequence goes on along the minus strand of NC_000005.10, from coordinate 49,752,070 downwards.
CAGATTCTACAAAAAGAGTGTTTCCAAACTGCCCTATCAAAAGGAAGGTTCAACTCTGCTAGTTGAATGCAAACATCACAAAGAAGTTTCTCGGAATGCTTCTGTCTTGTTGTCATAGGCAGATATTTCTTTTTCTACCATAGGCCTCAAAGCGCTCCAAATATCCACTTGCAGATTCTCCAAAAACAGTGTTTCAAAACTGCTCCATAAAAAGGAAGGTTCAACTCTGTGAGTTGAATGGACAGACCACAAAGAAATTTCTGAGAATGCTTCTGTCTAGTGTTTATGTGAAGATATTCCCGTTTCCGATGAAGGCCTCAAAGCAGTCCAAATATCCACTTGCAGATTCTACAAAAATAGTGCTTCAAAACTACCCTATGGAAAGGTATGTTCAACACTGTGAGATGAATGCAAACGTCACAAAGAAGTTGCTGAGAATGCTTCAGTCTAGTTTCTATGGGAAGACATTTCCTTTTGCACCACAGCCCTCAAAGCACCCCAAATGTCTACCTGCAGATTCGATAAAAGAGTTTTTTAAAACTGCTCCATCCAAAGAAAGGTTCAACTGCTGTGAGTTGAGTCTACATATCACAAAAAATGTTTCTGAGAATGCCTCTATCTACTTTTTCTGTGAAGATATTCCGGTTTCCAACGAAGGCCTCAAAGCGCTCCAAATATCTACGTGCAGATTCTAGAAGAAGAGTGTTTCAAAACTGCTCTATTAAAGGAAGGTTCAACTCTGTGAGTTGAATTCACACATCACAAAGAACTTTCTGACAATGCTTCTATCTAGTTTTTATGTGAAGATATTACTGTTTCCTATGAAGGCCTCAAAGTGGTCCGAATATCCACTTGCAGATTCTACAAAAAGAGGTTTTCAAAACTGCTCTATGAAGAGGTATGTTCAAGTCTGTGAGTTGAATGCAAACATCACGAACAGTTTCTGAGAATGCTTCTGTCTAGTTTTTAGGGACAGATATTTCCGTTGGCACAATAGCCCTCAAAGCGCACCAAATATCCACTGGCAGATTCTACCAAAAGAGTGTTTCAAAACTGCTCTGTGAAAAGAAACGTTCAACTCTGTTAGTTGAATGCCCACATCACAAAGAAGATTCTGAGAATATTTCTGTCTAGTTTTTATTAGAAGATATTCCCGTTTCCACCAAAGGACACAAAGCGAAGCCAATTATCCGCTTGCAGATCTTACAAAAACACGTTTCCAAACTGCTCTATCAAAGGAAAGGTTCATCTCTCTGGGTTCAACGCACACATCACAAAGAAGTTTCTGAGAATGCTTCTGGCTAGTTTGTGTGTGAAGATATTCCCATTTCCAACAAAGGCTTCAAAGCGCTCCAAAGATTCACCTGCAATTGTTCAAAAGAGTGTTTCAAAACTGTTGTATCCAAAGGAAGGTTCAACTCTGTGAGTTGAATGCACGCTTCACATAAATGTTTCTGAGAATGCTTCTTTCTAGTTTTTATGTGAAGATATTTCCGTCTCCACCGTAGCCCTCAAAGCGCTCCAAGTGTCCGCTGGCAGATTCCACAGAAACAGTGTTTCAAAACTGCTCTAACAAAAGAAAGATTCAACTCCGTGATTTGAATGCACACATCACAAAGCATTTTCTGTGAATACTTCTGTCTAGTTTTTATATGAGGATATTTCCTTTTCTACCACGGGCATCCAAGCGTTCCAATTCTCCAATTGTAGATTGCACAAACAGAGTGTTTCAAAACTGCTCCTTGGGAAGGAAGATTCAAATTTGGGAGTACAATGCACACATCACGAAGAAGTTTCTGAGAATGCTTCTGTCTAGTTTATACGTGAAGATACTCCCATTTCCAGCAAAGGTCTCAAAGCGGTCCAAATATCCACGTGCGGATCCCACAAACAGAGTGTTTCAAAACTGCTCTACGGAAAGGTATGTTCAACTCTGTGAGTTTACTGCAAACATCCTAAAGAAGTTTCTGAGAATGCTGCTGTCTACTTTAATGTGAATATAGTTTCTTTGCCGCCATAGCCCTCAAAGAGCTCCAAATATCCACTTTCAGATTCTACAGAGTGTTTCAAAACTGCTCTATCAAAAAAAAGTTTCAACTCGGTGAGTCAAATGCACATATCACAAAGCAGTTTCTGAGAATGCTTTCGTCCATTTTTCCCAGGAAGATATTTCCTTCTGGACCGTAGGCCTCAAATCGCTCCAGATATCCACATGCAGATTCTACAAAAAGAGTGTTTCCGAACTGCCCTATCAAAAGGAAGGTTCAACTCTGGTAGTTGAATGTAAACATCACAAAGAAGTTTCTCAGAATGCTTCTGTCTGGTTTTTAGAGGCAGATATTTCTTTTTCTACCATAGGCCTCAAAGCGCTCCAAATATCCACTTGCAGATTCTCCAAAAACAGTGATTCAAAACTGCTCCATAAAAAGGAAGGTCCAACTCTGTGAGTTGAATGGACAGATCACAAAGAAGTTTCTGAGAATGCTTCTGTCTAGTGTTTATGTGAAGATATTCCCGTTTCCAATGAAGGCCTCAAAGCAGTCCAAATATCCACTTGCAGATACTACAAAAATAGTGTTTCAAAACTGCTCTATGAAAAGGTATGTTCAACACTGTGAGATGAATGCAAACGTCACAAAGAAGTTGCTGAGAATGCTTCAGTCTAGTTTCTATGGGAAGACATTTCCTTTTGCACCACAGCCCTCAAAGCACTCCAAATATCTACTTGCAGATTCGATATAAGAGTTTTTCAAAACCGCTCTATCAAAAGGAAGGTTCAAATCTGTGAGTTGAATGGAGAGATCACAAAGTAGTTTCTGAGAATGCTTCTATCTACTTTTTATGTGAAGACATTCCGTTTTCCAACGAAGGCCTCAAAGCGCTCCAAATATCTATTGCAGATTCTACAAAAAGAGTGTTTCAAAACTGCTCTATTTATCGAAGGTTCAACTCTGTGAGGTGAATTCACACATCACAAAGAAGTTTCCGAGAATGCTTGAATCTAGTTTTTATGTGAAGATATTACTGTTTTCTATGAAGGCCTCAAAGTGGTCCGAATATCCACTTGCAGATTCTACAGAAAGAGGATTTCAAAACTGCTCTATAAAGAGGTATGTTCATCTCTGTGAGTTGAATGCAAACATCACAAAGTAGTTTCTGAGAATGCTTCTGTCTAGTTTTCAGGGGCAGATATTTCCATTGGCACAATAGCCCTCCAAGCGCTCCAAATATCCACTGGCAGATTCTACCAAAAGAGTGTTTCAAAACTGCTCTGTGAAAAGAAATGTTCAACTGTGTTAGTTGAATGCCCACATCAAAAAGGAGATTCTGAGAATATTTCTGTCTAGTTTTTATTAGAAGATATTCCCGTTTCCAACAAAGGACACAAAGCGAAGCCAATTATCCACTTGCCGATCTTACAAAAACACGTTTCAAAACTGCTCTATCAAAGGAAAAGTTCATCTCTCTGGGTTCAACGCACACATCACAAAGAAGTTTCTGAGAATGCTTCTGGCTAGTTTGTGTGTGAAGATATTCCCATTTCCAACAAAGGCTTCAAAGCGCTCCAAGGATTCACCTGCAATTGTTCAAAAGAGTGTTTCAAAACTGTTGTATCAAAAGGAAGGTTCAACTCTGTGAGTTGAATGCACGCTTCACATAAATGTTTCTGAGAATGCTTCTTTCTAGTTTTTATGGGAAGATATTTCCTTCTCCACCATAGCCCTCAAAGCGCTCCAAGTGTCCGCTGGCAGATTCCACAGAAACAGTGTTTCAAAACTGCTCTGACGAAAGAAAGATTCAACTCCGTGATTTGAATGCACACATCACAAAGCATTTTCTGTGAATCCTTCTGTCTAGTTTTTATATGAGGATATTTCCTTTTCTACCACGGGCATCCAAGCGTTCCAATTCTCCAATTGTAGATTGCACAAACAGAGTGTTTCAAAACTGCTGCATGAGAAGGAAGATTCAAATTTGGGAGTACAATGCACACATCACGAAGAAGTTTCTGAGAATGCTTCTGTCCAGTTTATATGTGAAGATATTCCCGTTTCCAGCAAAGGTCTCAAAGCGGTCCAAATATCCACTTGCGGATCCCACACACAGAGTGTTTCAAAGCTGCTCTACGGAAAGGTATGTTCAACTCTGTGAGTTTACAGCAAACATCCTAAAGAAGCTTCTGGGAATGCTGCTGTCTAGTTTCATGTGAATATAATTTCTTTTCCGCCATAGCCCTCAAAGAGCTCCAAATATCCACTTTCAGATTCTACAGAGTGTTTCAAAACTGCTCTATCAAAAAAAAGTTTCAACTCGCTGAGTCGAATGCACATATCACAAAGCAGTTTCTGAGAATGCTTTCGTCTATTTTTCCCAGGAAGATATTTCCTTTTTGACCGTAGGCCTCAAATCGCTCCAGATATCCACATGCAGATTCTACAAAAAGAGTGTTTCCAAACTGCCCTATCAAAAGGAAGGTTCAACTACTGGTAGTTGAATGCAAACATCACAAAGAAGTTTCTCAGAATGCTTCTGTCTGGTTTTTAGAGGCAGATATTTCATTTTCTACCATAGGCCTCAAAGCGCTCCAAATATCCACTTGCAGATTCTCCAAAAACAGTGATTCAAAACTGCTCCATAAAAAGGAAGGTTCAACTCTGTGAGTTGAATGGACAGATCACAAAGAAGTTTCTGAGAATGCTTCTGTCTAGTGTTTATGTGAAGATATTCCCGTTTCCAATGAAGGCCTCAAAGCAGTCCAAATATCCACTTGCAGATTCTACAAAATTAGTGTTTCAAAACTTCTCTATGGAAAGGTATGTTCAACACTGTGAGATGAATGCAAACGTCACAAAGAAGTTGCTGAGAATGCTTCAGTCTAGTTTCTATGGGAAGACATTTCCTTTTGCACCACAGCCCCCAAAGCACTCCAAATGTCTACTTGCAGATTCGATAAAAGAGTTTTACAAAACTGCTCTATCAAAAGAAAGGTTCAACGCTGTGAGTTGAATCCACATATCACGAAAAAGTATCTGAGAATGCCTCTATCTACATTTCCTGTGAAGATATTCCGGTTTCCAACGAAGGCCTCCAAGCGCTCCAAATATCTACTTGCAGATTCTAGAAAAAGAGTGTTTCAAAACTGCTCTATTAAAGGAAGGTTCAACTCTGTGAGTTGAATTCACACATCACAAAGAACTTTCTGACAATGCTTCTATCTAGTTTTTATGCGAAGATATTACTGGTTCCTATGAAGGCCTCAAAGTGCTCCGAATATCCACTTGCAGATTCTACAAAAAGAGGTTTTCAATACTGCTCTGTGAAGAGGTATGTTCAACTCTGTGAGTTGAATGCAAACATCACGAAGTAGTTTCTGAGAATGCTTCTGTCTAGATTTTAGGGGCAGATATTTCCATTGGCACAACAGCCCTCAAAGCGCTCCAAATATCCACTGCCAGATTCTACCAAAAGAGTGTTTCAAAACTGCTCTGTGAAAAGAAATGTTCAACTGTGTTAGTTGAATGCCCACATCACAAAGGAGATTGTGAGAATATTTCTGTCTAGTTTTTATTAGAAGATATTCCCGTTTCCACCAAAGGACACAAAGCGAAACCAATTATCCGCTTGCCGATCTTACAAAAACACGTTTCAAAACTGCTCTATCAAAGGAAAGGTTCATCTCTCTGGGTTCAACGCACACATCACAAAGAAGTTTCTGAGAATGCTTCTGGCTAGTTTGTGTGTGAAGATATTCCCATTTCCAACAAAGGCTTCAAAGCGCTCCAAAGATTCACCTGCAATTGTTCAAAAGAGTGTTTCAAAACTGTTGTATCAAAAGTAAGGTTCAACTCTGTGAGTTGAATGCACGCTTCACATAAATGTTTCTGAGAATACTTCTCTCTAGTTTTTATGGGAAGATATTTCCTTCTCCACCATAGCCCTCAAAGTGCTCCAAGTGTCCGCTGGCAGATTCCACAGAAACAGTGTTTCAAAACTGCTCTGACAAAAGAAAGATTCAACTCCGTGATTTGAATGCACACATCACAAAGCATTTTCTGTGAATCCTTCTGTCTAGTTTTTATATGAGGATATTTCCTTTTCTACCATGGGCATCAAAGGGTTCCAATTATCCAATTGTAGATTGCACAAATAGAGAGTTTCAAAACTGCTTCATGAGAAGGAAGATTCAAATTTGCGAGTAGAATGCACACATCACGAAGAAGTTTCTGAGAATGCTTCTGTCTAGTTTATATGTGAAGATATTCCCATTTCCAGCAAAGGTCTCAAAGCGGTCCAAATATCCACTTGCGGATCCCACAAACAGAGTGTTTCAAAACTGCTCTACGGAAAGGTAGGTTCCACTCTGTGAGTTTACTGCAAACATCCTAAAGAAGTTTCTGAGAATGCCGCTGTCTACTTTTTTAATGTGAATATATTTTCTTTTCCGCCATAGCCCTCAAAGAGCTCCAAATATCCACTTTCAGATTCTACAGAGTGTTTCAAAACTGCTCTATCAAAAAAAAGTTTCAACTCGGTGAGTCGAATGCGCATATCACAAAGCCCTTTCTGAGAATGCTTTCGTCTATTTTTCCCAGGAAGATATTTCCTTTTGGACCGTAGGCCTCAAATCGCTCCAGATATCCACATCCAGACTCTACAAAAAGAGTGTTTCCAAACTGCCCTATCAAAAGGAAGGTTCAACTCTGGTAGTTGAATGCAAACATCACAAAGAAGTTTCTCAGAATGCTTCTGTCTTGTTCTCATAGGCAGATATTTCTTTTTCTACCATAGGCCTCAAAGGGCTCCAAATATCCACTTGCAGATTCTCCAAAAACAGTGTTTCAAAACTGCTCCATAAAAAGGAAGGTTCAACTCTGTGAGTTGAATGGACAGACCACAAAGAAGTTTCTGAGAATGCTTCTGTCTAGTGTTTATGTGAAGATATTCCCGTTTCCGATGAAGGCCTCAAAGCAGTCCAAATATCCACTTGCCGATTCTACAAAAACAGTGTTTCAAAACCACTCTATGGAAAGGTATGTTCAACACTGTGAGATGAATGCAAACGTCACCAAGAAGTTGCTGAGAATGCTTCAGTCTAGTTTCTATGGGAAGACATTTCCTTTTGCACCACAGCCCCCAAAGCACTCCAAATGTCTACTTGCAGATTCGATAAAAGAGTTTTACCACACTGCTCTATCAAAAGAAAGGTTCAACGCTGTGAGTTGAATCCACATATCACGAAAAAGTTTCTGAGAATGCCTCTATCTACATTTCCTGTGAAGATATTCCGGTTTCCAAAGAAGGCCTCCAAGCACTCCAAATATCTACTAGCAGATTCTAGAAAAAGAGTGTTTCAAAACTGCTCTATTAAAGGAAGGTTCAACTCTGTGAGTTGAATTCACACATCACAAAGAACTTTCTGACAATGCTTTCTATCTAGTTTTTAGGCAAAGATATTACTGTTTCCTATGAAGGCCTCAAAGTGGTCCGAATATCCACTTGCAGATTCTACAGAAAGAGGTTTTCAAAACTGCTCTGTGAAGAGGTATGTTCAACTCTGTGTGTTGAATGCAAACATCACGAAGTAGTTTCTGAGAATGCTTCTGTCTAGTTTTTAGGGGAAGATATTTCCGTTGGCACAATAGCCCTCAAAGCGCTCCAAATATCCACTGGCAGATTCCACCAAAAGAGTGTTTCAAAACTGCTCTGTGAAAAGAAATGTTCAACTGTGTTAGTTGAATGCCCACATCACAAAGAAGATTCTGAGAATATTTCTGTCTAGTTTTTATTAGAAGATATTCCGGTTTCCAACAAAGGACACAAAGCGAAGCCAATTATCCGCTTGCAGATCTTACAAAAACACGTTTCAAAACTGCTCTATCAAAGGAAAGGTTCATCTCTCTGGGTTCAACGCACACATCACAAAGAAGTTTCTGAGAATGCTTCTGGCTAGTTTGTGTGTGAAGATATTCCCATTTCCAACAAAGGCTTTAAAGCGCTCCAAAGATTCACCTGCAATTGTTCAAAAGAGTGTTTCAAAACTGTTCTATCAAAAGGAAGGTTCAACTCTGTGAGTTGAATGCACACTTCACATAAATGTTTCTGAGAATGCTTCTTTCTAGTTTTTATGTGAAGATATTTCCTTCTCCACCATAGCCCTCAAAGCGCTCCAAGTGTCCGCTGGCAGATTCCACAGAAACAGTGTTTCAAAACTGCTCTAACAAAAGAAAGATTCAACTCCGTGATTTGAATGCACACATCACAAAGCATTTTCTGTGAATCCTTTCTGTCTAGTTTTTATATGAGGATATTTCCTTTTCTACCATGGGCATCAAAGCGTTCCAATTATCCCATTGTAGATTGCACAAATAGAGTGTTTCAAAACTGCTTCATGAAAAGGAAGATTCAAATTTGGGGGTAGAATGCACACATCACGAAGAAGTTTCTGAGAATGCTTCTGTCTAGTTTATATGTGAAGATATTCCCATTTCCAGCAAAGGTCTCAAAGCGGTCCAAATATCCCCTTGCGGATCCCACAAACAGAGTGTTTCAAAACTGCTCTACGGAAAGATAGGTTCAACTCTGTGAGTTTACTGCAAACATCCTAAAGAAGTTTCTGAGAATGCTGCTGTCTAGTTTAATGTGAATATATTTTCTTTTCCGCCATAGCCCTCGAAGAGCTCCAAATATACACTTTCAGATTCTACAGAGTGTTTCAAAACTGCTCTATCAAAAAAAAGTTTCAACTCGGAGAGTCGAATGCACATATCACAAAGCAGTTTCTGAGAATGCTTTCGTCTATTTTTCCCAGGAAGATATTTCCTTTTTGACCGTAGGCCTCAAACCGCTCCAGTATATCCACATGCAGATTCTACAAAAAGAGTGTTTCCAAACTGCCCTATCAAAAGGAAGGTTCAACTCTGCTAGTTGAATGCAAACATCACAGAGAAGTTTCTCGGAATGCTTCAGTCTAGTATTTAGAGGCAGATATTTCTTTTTCTACCATTGGCCTCAAGACGCTCCAAATATCCACTTGCAGATTCTCCACAAACAGTGTTTCAAAACTGCTCCATAAAAAGGAAGGTTCAACTCTGTGAGTTGAATGGACAGATAACAAAGAAGTTTCTGAGAATGCTTCTCTCTAGTGTTTATGTGAAGATATTCCCGATTCCGATGAAGGCCTCAAAGCAGTCCAAATATCCACTTGCCGATTCTACAAAAACAGTGTTTCAAAACTACTCTATGGAAAGGTATGTTCAACACTGTGAGATGAATGCAAACGTCACAAAGAAGTTGCTGAGAATGCTTTAGTCTAGTTTCTATGGGAAGACATTTCCTTTTGCACCACAGCCCCCAAAGCACTCCAAATGTCTACATGCAGATTCGATAAAAGAGTTTTACAAAACTGCTCTATCAAAAGAAAGGTTCAACGCTGTGAGTTGAATCCACATATCACGAAAAAGTTTCTGAGAATGCCTCTATCTACTTTTCCTGTGAAGATATTCCGGTTTCCAACGAAGGCCTCAAAGCGCTCCAAATATCTACTTGCAGATTCTAGAAAAAGAGTGTTTCACAACTGCTCTATTAAAGGAAGGTTCAACTCTGTGAGTTGAATTCACACATCACAAAGAACTTTCTGACAATGCTTCTGTCTAGTTTTTATGTGAAGATATTACTGTTTCCTGTGAAGGCCTCAAAGTGGTCCGAATATCCACTTGCAGATTCTACAGAAAGAGGTTTTCAAAACTGTTCTGTGAAGAGGTATGTTCAACTCTGTGTGTTGAATGCAAACATCACGAAGTAGTTTCTGAGAATGCTTCTGTCTAGTTTTTAGGGGAAGATATTTCCATTGGCACAATAGCCCTCAAAGCGCTCCAGATATCCACTGGCAGATTCCACCAAAAGAGTGTTTCAAAACTGCTCTGTGAAAAGAAATGTTCAAATGTGTTAGTTGAATGCCCTCATCACAAAGAAGATTCTGAGAATATTTCTGTCTAGTTTTTATTAGAAGATATTCCCGTTTCCACCAAAGGACACAAAGCGAAGCCGATTATCCACTTGCAGATCTTACAAAAACACGTTTCAAAACTGCTCTATCAAAGGAAAGGTTCATCTCTCTGGGTTCCACGCACGCATCACAAAGAAGTTTCTGAGAATGCTTCTGGCTAGTTTGTGTGTGAAGATATTCCCATTTCCAACAAAGGCTTCAAAGCGCTCCAAAGATTCACCTGCAATTGTTCAAAAGAGTGTTTCAAAACTGTTGTATCACAAGGAAGGTTCAACTCTGTGAGTTGAATGCACGCTTCACATAAATGTTTCTGAGAATGCTTCTTTCTAGTTTTTATGGGAAGATATTTCCTTCTCCACCATATCCCTCAAAGCGCTCCAAGTGTCCGCTGGCAGATTCCACAGAAACAGTGTTTCAAAACTGCTCTGACAAAAGAAAGATTCAACTCCGTGATTTGAATGCACACATCACAAAGCATTTTCTGTGAATCCTTCTGTCTAGTTTTTATATGAGGATATTTCGTTTTCTACCATGGGCATCAAAGCGTTCCAATTATCCAATTGTGGATTGCACAAACAGAGTGTTTCAAAACTGCTTCATGAAAAGGAAGATTCAAATTCGGGAGTAGAATGCACACATCACGAGGAAGTTTCTGAGAATGCTTCTGTCTAGTTTATACGTGAAGATATTCCCATTTCCAGCAAAGGTCCCAAAGCGGTCCAAATATCCACTTGCGGATCCCACAAACAGAGTGTTTCAAAACTGCTCTACGGAAAGGTATGTTCAACTCTGTGAGTTTACTGCAAACATCCTAAAGAAGTTTCTGAGAATGCTGCTGTCTAGTTTAATGTGAATATATTTTCTTTTCCGCCATAGCCCTCAAAGAGCTCCAAATATGCACTTTCAGAATCTATAGAGTTTTTCAAAACTGCTCTATCAAAAAAAAAGTTTCAACTCGGTGAGTCGAATGCACATATCACAAAGCAGTTTCTGAGAATGCTTTCGTCTATTTTTCCCAGGAAGATATTTCCTTTTTGACCGTAGGCCTCAAATCGCTCCAGATATCCACATGCAGATTCTACAAAAAGAGTGTTTCCAAACTGCCCTATCAAAAGGAAGGTTCAACTCTGGTAGTTGAATGCAAACATCACAAAGAAGTTTCTCTGAATGCTTCTGTCTGGTTTTTAGAGGCAGATATTTCTGTTTCTACCCTAGGCCTCAAAGCGCTCCAAATATCCACTTGCAGATTCTCCAAAAGGAGTGTTTCAAAACTGCTCCATAAAAAGGAAGGTTCAACTCTGTGAGTTGAATGGACAGATGACAAAGAAGTTTCTGAGAATGCTTCTGTCTAGTGTTTATGTGAAGATATTCCCGTTTCCAATGAAGGCCTCAAAGCAGTCCAAATGTCCACTTGCAGATTCTACAAAAACAGTGTTTCAAAACTAATCTATGCAAAGGTATGTTCAACACTGTGAGATGAATGCAAACGTCACCAAGAAGTTGCTGAGAATGATTCAGTCCAGTTTCTATGGGAAGACATTTCCTTTTGCACAACAGCCCTCAAAGCACTCAAATGTCTACTTGCAGATTCGATAAAAGAGTTTTACAAAACTGCTCTATCAAAAGAAAGGTTCAACGCTGTGAGTTGAATCTACATATCACGAAAAAGTTTCTGAGAATGCCTCTATCTACTTTTTATGTGAAGATATTCCGGTTTCCAACGAAGGCCTCAAAGCGCTCCAAATATCTACTGGCAGATTCTAGAAAAAGAGTGTTTCAAAACTGCTCTATTAAAGGAAGGTTCAACTCTCTGAGTTGAATTCACACATCACAAAGAACTTTCTGACAATGCTTCTATCTAGTTTTTATGTGAAGATATTACTGTTTCCTATGAAGGCCTCAAACTGGTCCGAATATCCACTTGCAGATTCTACAAAAAGAGGTTTTCAAAACTGCTCTATGAAAAGGTATGTTCAACTCTGTGAGTTGAATGCAAACATCACAAAGCAGTTTCTGAGAATGCTTCTGTCTACTTTTTAGGGGCAGATATTTCCGTTGGCACAATAGCCCTCAAAGCGCTCCAAATATCCACTGGCAGATTCTACCAAAAGAGTGTTTCAAAACTGCTCTGTGAAAAGAAACGTTCAACTGTGTTTGTTGAATGCCCACATCACAAAGAAGATTCTGAGAATATTTCTGTCTAGTTTTTATTAGAAGATATTCACATTTCCACCAGAGGACACAAAGGGAAGCCAATTATCCGCTTGCAGATCTTACAAAAACACTTTTCAAAACTGCTCTATCAAAGGAAAGGTTCATCTCTCTGGGTTCATCGCACACATCACAAAGAAGTTTCTTAGAATGCTTCTGGCTAGTTTGTGTGTGAAGATATTCCCATTTCCAACAAAGGCTTCAAAGCGCTCCAAAGATTCACCTGCAATTGTTCAAAAGAGTGTTTCAAAACTGTTCTATCAAAAGGAAGTTTCAACTCTGTGAGTTGAATGCACGCTTCACATAAATGTTTCTGAGAATGCTTCTTTCTAGTTTTTATGAGAAGATATTTCCTTCTCCACCGTAGCCCTCAAAGCGCTCCAAGTGTCCCCTGGGAGATTCCACAGAAACAGTGTTTCAAAACTGCTCTAACAAAAGAAAGATTCAACTCCGTGATTTGAATGCACACATCACAAAGCATTTTCTGTGAATCCTTCTGTCTAGTTTTTATATGAGGATATTTCCTTTTCTACCATGGGCATCAAAGGGTTCCAATTATCCAATTGTAGATTGCACAAATAGAGTGTTTCAAAACTGCTTCATGAGAAAGAAGATTCAAATTTGGGAGTAGAATGCACACATCACGAAGAAGTTTCTGAGAATGCTTCTGTCTAGTTTATATGTGAAGATATTCCCATTTCCAGCAAAGGTCTCAAAGGGGCCCAAATATCCACTTGCGGATCCCACAAACAGAGTGTTTCAAAACTGCTCTACGGAAAGATATGTTTAACTCTGTGAGTTTACTGCAAACATCCTAAAGAAGTTTCTGAGAATGCTGCTGTCTACTTTAATGTGAATATATTTTAATTTCCGCCATAGCCATCAAAGAGCTCCAAATATCTACTTTCAGATTCTACAGAGTGTTTCAAAACTGCTCTATCAAAAAAAAGTTTCAACTCGGTGAGTCGAATGCACATATCACAAAGCAGTTTCTGAGAATGCTTTCGTCTATTTTTCCCAGGAAGATATTTCCTTTTTGACCGTAGGCCTCAAACCGCTCCAGATATCCACATGCAGATTCTACAAAATGAGTATTTCCAAACTGCCCTACAAAAGGAAGGTTCAACTCTGCTAGTTGAATGCAAACATCACAAAAAAGTTTCTCGGAATGCTTCAGTCTAGTATTTAGAGGCAGATATTTCTTTTTCTACCATTGGCCTCAAGGCGCTCCAAATATCCACTTGCAGATTCTCCACAAGCAGTGTTTCAAAACTGCTCCATAAAAAGGAAGGTTCAACTCTGTGAGTTGAACGGACAGATCACAAAGAAGTTTCTGAGAATGCTTCTCTCTAGTGTTTATGTGAAGATATTCCCGTTTCCGATGAAGGCCTCAAAGCAGTCCAAATATCCACTTGCCTATTCTACACAAACAGTGTTTCAAAACTACTCTATGGAAAGGTATGTTCAACACTGTGAGATGAATGCAAACGTCACCAAGAAGTTGCTGAGAATGCTTCAGTCTAGTTTCTATGGGAAGACATTTCCTTTTGCACCACAGCCCTCAAAGCACCCCAAATGTCTACCTGCAGATTCGATAAAAGAGTTTTTCAAAACTGCTCCATCCAAAGAAAGGTTCAACGCTGTGAGTTGAATCTACATATCACAAAAAAAGTTTCTGAGAATGCCTCTATCTACTTTTTACGTGAAGATAGTCCGGTTTCCAACGAAGGCCTCAAAGCGCTCCAAATATCTACTTGCAGATTCTAGAAAAAGAGTGTTTCAAAACTGCTCTATGAAAGGAAGGTTCAACTCTGTGAGTTGAATTCACACATCACAAAGAACTTTCTGACAATGCTTCTATCGAGTTTTTATGAGAATATATTACTGTTTCCTATGAAGGCCTCAAAGTGGTCCAAATATCCACTTGCAGATAATACAAAAAGAAGTTTTCAAACCTGCTCTATGAAGAGGTATGTTCAACTATGTGAGTTGAATGCAAACATCACAAAGTAGTTTCTGAGAATGCTTCTGTCTAGTTTTTAGGGGCAGATATTTCCGTTGGCACAAGAGCCCTCAAAGCGCTCCAAATATCCACTGGCAGATTCTACCAAAAGAGTGTTTCAAAACTGCTCTGTGAAAAGAAACGTTCAACTGTGTTAGTTGAATGCCCACATCACAAAGAAGATTCTGAGAATATTTCTGTCTAGTTTTTATTAGAAGATATTCCCGTTTCCACCAAAGGACACAAAGCGAAGCCAATTATCCGCTTGCCGATCTTACAAAAACGCGTTTCAAAACTGCTCTATCGAAGGAAAGGTTCATCTCTCTGGGTTCAACGCACACATCACAAAGAAGTTTCTGAGAATGCTTCTGGCTAGTTTGTGTGTGAAGATATTCCCATTTCCAACAAAGGCTTCAAAGCGCTCCAAAGATTCACCTGCAATGTTCAAAAGAGTGTTTCAAAACTGTTCTATCAAAAGGAAGGTTCAACTCTGTGAGTTGAATGCACGCTTCACATAAATGTTTCTGAGAATGCTTCTTTCTAGTTTTTATGTGAAGATATTTCCTTCTCCACCGTAGCCCTCAAAGCGCTCCAAGTGTCCGCTGGCAGATTCCACAGAAACAGTGTTTCAAAACTGCTCTAACAAAAGAAAGATTCAACACCGTGATTTGAATGCACACATCACAAAGCATTTTCTGTGAATCCTTCTGTCTAGTTTTTATATGAGGCTATTTCCTTTTCTACCATGGGCATCAAAGCGTTCCAATTATCCAATTGTGGATTGCACAAACAGAGTGTTTCAAAACTGCTTCATGAAAAGGAAGATTCAAATTCGGGAGTAGAATGCACACATCACGAAGAAGTTTCTGAGAATGCTTCCTGTCTAGTTTATATGTGAAGATATTCCCATTTCCAGCAAAGGTCTCAAAGCGGTCCAAATATCCACTTGCGGATCCCACAAACAGAGTGTTTCAAAGCTGCTCTACGGAAAGGTATGTTGAACTCTATGAGTTTACTGCAAACATCCTAAAGATGTTTCTGAGAATGCTGCTGTATAGTTTAATGTGAATATATTTTCTTTTCCACCATAGCCCTCAAAGAGCTCCAAATATCCACTTTCAGATTCTACAGAGTGTTTCAAAACTGCTCTATCCAAAAAAAGTTTCAACTCGGTGAGTCGAATGCACATATCACAAAGCAGTTTCTGAGAATGCTTTCGTCTATTTTTCCCAGGAAGATATTTCCTTTTTGACCGTAGGCCTCAAATCGCTCCAGATATCCACATGCAGATTCTACAAAAGAGTGTTTCCAAACTGCCCTATCAAAAGGAAGGTTCAACTCTGCTAGTTGAATGCAAACATCACAAAGAAGTTTCTCAGAATGCTTCTGTCTAGTTTTTAGAGGCAGATATTTCTTTTTCTACCACAGGCCTCTAAGCGCTCCAAATATCCACTTGCAGATTCTCCAAGAACAGTGTTTCAAAACTGCTCCATAAAAAGGAAGGTTCAACTCTGTGAGTTGAATGGACAGATGACAAAGAAGTTTCTGAGAATGCTTCTGTCTAGTGTTTATGTGAAGATATTCCCGTTTCCGATGAAGGCCTCAAAGCAGTCCAAATATCCACTTGCAGATTCTACAAAAATAGTGCTTCAAAACTACTCTATGGAAAGGTAAGTTCAACACTGTGAGATGAATGCAAACGTCACAAAGAAGTTGCTGAGAATGCTTCTGTCTAGTTTCTATGGGAAGACATTTCCTTTTGCACCACAGCCCTCAAAGCACCCCAAATGTCTACCTGCAGATTCGATAGAAGAGTTTTTCAAAACTGCTCCATCCAAAGAAAGGTTCAACGCTGTGAGTTGAATCTACATATCACAAAAAAGTTTCTGAGAATGCCTCTATCTACTTTTTATGTGAAGATATTCCGGTTTCCAACGAAGGCCTCAAAGCGCTCCAAATATCTACTTGCAGATTCTAGAAAAAGAGTGTTTCAAAACTGCTCTATTAAAGGAAGCTTCAACTCTGTGAGTTAAATTCACACATCACAACGAACTTTCTGACAATGCTTCTATCTAGTTTTCATGTGAAGGTATTACTGTTTCCTATGAAGGCCTCAAAGTGGTCCGAATATCCACTTGCAGATTCTACAAAAAGAGGTTTTCAAAACTGCTCTATGAAGAGGTATGTTCAACTCTGTGAGTTGAATGCAAACATCACAAAGTAGTTTCTGAGAATGCTTCTGTCTAGTTTTTAGGGGAAGATATCTCCATTGGCACAATAGCCCTCAAAGCGCTCCAAGTATCCACTGGCAGATTCTAGCAAAAGAGTGTTTCAAAACTGCTCTGTGAGAAGAAATGTTCAACTGTGTTAGTTGAATGCCCACATCACAAAGACGATTGTGAGAATATTTCTGTCTAGTTTTTATTAGAAGATATTCCCGTTTCCACCAAAGGACACAAAGCGAAGCCCATTATCCGCTTGCAGACCTTACAAAAACACGTTTCAAAACAGCTCTATCAAAGGAAAGGTTCATCTCTCTGGGTTCAACGCACACATCACAAAGAAGTTTCTGAGAATGCTTCTGGCTAGTTTGTGTGTGAAGATATTCCCATTTCCAACAAAGGCTTCAAAGCGCTCCAAAGATTCACCTGCAATTGTTCAAAAGGGTGTTTCAAAACTGTTGTATCAAAAGGAAGGTTCAACTCTGTGAGTTGAATGCACGCTTCACATAAATGTTTCTGAGAATGCTTCTTTCTAGTTTTTATGGGAAGATATTTCCTTCTCCACCATAGCCCTCAAAGCGCTCCAAGTGTCCGCTGGCAGATTCCACAGAAACAGTGTTTCAAAACTGCTCTGAGAAAAGAAAGATTCAACTCCGTGATTTGAATGCACACATCACAAAGCATTTTCTGTGAATCCTTCTGTCTAGTTTTCATATGAGGATATTTCCTTTTCTACCATGGGCATCAAAGCGTTCCAATTATCCAATTGTGGATCGCACAAACAGAGTGTTTCAAAACTGCTTCAGGAAAAGGAAGATTCAAATTCGGGAGTAGAATGCACACATCACGAGGAAGTTTCTGAGAATGCTTCTGTCTAGTTTATATGTGAAGATATTCCCATTTCCAGCAAAGGTCTCAAAGCGGTCCAAATATCCACTTGCGGATCCCACAAACAGAGTGTTTCAAAACTGCTCTACGGAAAGGTATGTTCAACTCTGTGAGTTTACTGCAAACATCCTAAGGAAGTTTCTGAGAATGTTGCTGTCTAGTTTAATGTGAATATATTTTCTTTTCCGCCATAGCCCTCAAAGAGCTCCAAATATCCACTTTCAGATTCTACAGAGTGTTTCAAAACTGCTCTATCAAAAAAATGTTTCAACTCGGTGAGTCGAATGCACATATCACAAAGCAGTTTCTGAGAATGCTTTCGTCTATTTTTCCCAGGAAGATATTTCCTTTTTGACCGTAGGCCTCAAACCGCTCCAGATATCCACATGCGGGTTCTACAAAAAGAGTGTTTCCAAGCTGCCCTATCAAAAGGAAGGTTCAACTCTGCTAGTTGAATGCAAACATCACAAAGAAGTTTCTCGGAATGCTTCAGTCTAGTTGTAATAGGCAGATATTTCTTTTTCTACCATAGGCCTAAAAGCGCTCCAAATATCCACTTGCAGATTCTCCAAAAACAGTGTTTCAAAACTGCTCCATAAAAAGGAAGGTTCAACTCTGTGAGTTGAATGGACAGATCACAAAGAAGTTTCTGAGAATGCTTCTCTCTAGTGTTTATGTGAAGATATTCCCGTTTCCGATGAAGGCCTCAATGCAGTCCAAATATCCACTTGCCGATTCTACAAAAACAGTGTTTCAAAACTACTCTATGGAAAGGTATGTTCAACACTGTGAGATGAATGCAAACGTCACCAAGAAGTTTCTGAGAATGCTTCAGTCTAGTTTCTATGGGAAGACATTTCCTTTTGCACCACAGCCCTCAAAGCACCCCGAATGTCTACCTGCAGATTCGATAAAAGAGTTTTTCAAAACTGCTCCATCCAAAGAAAGGTTCAACGCTGTGAGTTGAATCTACATATCACAAATAAGTTTCTGAGAATGCCTCTATCTACATTTCCTGTGAAGATATTATGGTTTCCAAAGAAGGCCTCCAAGCGCTCCAAATATCTACTTGCAGATTCTAGAAAAAGAGTGTTTCAAAACTGCTCTATTAAAGGAAGGTTCAACTCTGTGAGTTGAATTCACACATCACAAAGAACTTCCTGACAATGCTTCTATCTAGTTTTTATGTGAAGATATTACTGTTTCCTATGAAGGCCTCAAAGTGGTCCGAATATCCACTTGCAGATTCTACAAAAAGAGGTTTTCAAAACTGCTCTATGAAGAGGTATGTTCAACTCTGTGAGTTGAATGCAAACATCACAAAGTAGTTTCTGAGAATGTTTCTGTCTAGTTTTTAGGGGAAGATATTTCCATTGGCACAATAGCCCTCAAAGCGCTCCAGATATCCTCTGGCAGATTCCACCAAAAGAGTGTTTCAAAACTGCTCTGTGAAAAGAAATGTTCAAATGTGTTAGTTGAATGCCCTCATCACAAAGAAGATTCTGAGAATATTTCTGTCTAGTTTTTATTAGAAGATATTCCCGTTTCCACCAAAGGACACAAAGCGAAGCCAATTATCCACTTGCAGATCTTACAAAAACACGTTTCAAAACTGCTCTATCCAAGGAAAGGTTCATCTCTCTGGGTTCAACGCACACATCACAAAGAAGTTTCTTGAGAATGCTTCTGGCTAGTTTGTGTGTGAAGATATTCCCATTTCCAACAAAGGCTTCAAAGCCCTCCAAATATTCACCTGCAATTGTTCAAAAGAGTGTTTCAAAACTGTTCTATCAAAAGGAAGGTTCAACTCTGTGAGAGGAACGCACGCTTCACATAAATGGTTCTCAGAATGCTTCTCTCTAGTTTTTATGGGAAGATATTTCCTTCTCCACCATAGCCCTCAAAGCGCTCCAAGTGTCCGCTGGCAGATTCCACAGAAACAGTGTTTCAAAACTGCTCTGACAAAAGAAAGATTCAACTCTGTGATTTGAATGTACACATCACAAAGCATTTTCTGTGAATCCTTCTGTCTAGTTTTTATATGAGGATATTTCCTTTTCTACCATGGGCATCAAAGCGTTCCCATTATCCAATTGTGGATTGCACAAACAGAGTGTTTCAAAACTGCTTCATGAAAAGGAAGATTCAAATTCGGGAGGAGAATGCACACATCACGAAGAAGTTTCTGAGAATGCTTCTGTCCAGTTTATATGTGAAGATATTCCCGTTTCCAGCAAAGGTCTCAAAGCGGTCCAAATATCCACTTGCGGATCCCACACACAGAGTGTTTCAAAGCTGCTCTACGGAAAGGTATGTTCAACTCTGTGAGTTTACTGCAAACATCCTAAAGAAGTTTACTGGGAATGCTGCTGTCTACTTTAATGTGAATATATTTTCATTTCCGCCATAGCCCTCAAAGAGCTCCAAATATCCACTTTCAGATTCTACAGAGTGTTTCAAAACTGCTCTATCAAAAAAAGGTTTCAACTCGGTGAGTCGAATGCACATATCACAAAGCACTTTCTGAGAATGCTTTCGTCTATTTTTCCCAGGAAGATATTTCCTTTTGGACGGTAGGCCTCAATTCGCTCCAGATATCCACATGCAGATTCTACAAAAAGAGTGTTTCCAAACTGCCCTATCAAAAGGAAGGTTCAACTCTGGTAGTTGAAGGCAAACATCACAAAGAAGTTTCTCAGAATGCTTCTGTCTAGTTTTTAGAGGCAGATATTTCTTTTTCTACCACAGGCCTCAAAGCGCTCCAAATATCCACTTGCAGATTCTCCAAGAACAGTGTTTCAAAACTGCTCCATAAAAAGGAAGGTTCAACTCTGTGAGTTGAATGGACAGATCACAAAGAAGTTTCTGAGAATGCTTCTGTCCAGTGTTTATGTGAAGATATTCCCGTTTCCGATGGAGGCCTCAAAGCAGTCCAAATATCCACTTGCAGATTCTACAAAAATAGTGTTTCAAAACTACTCTATGCAAAGGTATGTTCAACACTGTGAGATCAATGCAAACGTCACAAAGAAGTTGCTGAGAATGCTTCAGTCTAGTTTCTATGGGAAGACATTTCCTTTTGCACCACAGCCCTCAAAGCACCCCAAATGTCTACCTGCAGATTCGATAAAAGAGTTTTTCAAAACTGCTCCATCCAAAGAAAGGTTCAACGCTGTGAGTTGAATCTACATATCACAAAAAAGTTTCTGAGATGCCTCTATCTACTTTTTATGTGAAGATATTCCGGTTTCCAACGAAGGCCTCAAAGCGCTCCAAATATCTACTGGCAGATTCTAGAAAAAGAGTGTTTCAAAACTGCTCTATTAAAGGAAGATTCAACTCTGTGAGTTGAATTCACACATCACAAAGAACTTTCTGACAATGTTTCTATCTAGTTTTTATGTGAAGATATTACTGTTTCCAATGAAGGCCTCAAAGTGGTCCGAATATCCACTTGCATATTCTACAGAAAGAGGTTTTCAAAACTGCTCTGTGAAGAGGTATGTTCAACTCTGTGTGTTGAATGCAAACATCACGAAGTAGTTTCTGAGAATGCTTCTGTCTAGTTTTCAGGGGCAGATATTTCCATTGGCACAATAGCCCTCCAAGCGCTCCAAATATCCACTGGCAGATTCTACCAAAAGAGTGTTCCAAACTGCTCTGTGAAAAGAAATGTTCAACTGTGTTAGTTGAATGCCCACATCACAAAGGAGATTCTGAGAATATTTCTGTCTAGTTTTTATTAGAAGATATTCCCGTTTCCACCAAAGGACACAAAGCGAAGCCAATTATCCACTTGCCGATCTTACAAAAACACGTTTCAAAACTGCTCTATCAAAGGAAAAGTTCATCTCTCTGGGTTCAACGCACACATCACAAAGAAGTTTCTGAGAATGCTTCTGGCTAGTTCGTGTGTGAAGATATTCCCATTTCCAACAAAGGCTTCAAAGCCCTCCAAATATTCACCTGCAATTGTTCAAAAGAGTGTTTCAAAACTGTTCTATCAAAAGGAAGGTTCAACTCTGTGAGTTGAATGCACGCTTCACATAAATGGTTCTGAGAATGCTTCTTTCTAGTTTTTATGTGAAGATATTTCCTTCTCCACCATAGCCCTCAAAGCGCTCCAAGTGTCCGCTGGAAGATTCCACAGTAACAGTGTTTCAAAACTGCTCTGACAAAAGAAAGATTCAACTCCGTGATTTGAATGCACACATCACAAAGCATTTTCTGTGAATCCTTCTGTCTAGTTTTTATATGAGGATATTTCCTTTTCTACCATGGGCATCAAAGCTTTCCAATTATCCAATTGTGGATTGCACAAACAGAGTGTTTCAAAACTGCTTCATGAAAAGGAAGATTCAAATTTGGGAATAGAATGCACACATCACGAAGAAGTTTCTGAAAATGCTTCTGTCCAGTTTACATGTGAAGATATTCCCGTTTCCAGCAAAGGTCTCAAAGCGGTCCAAATATCCACTTGCGGATCCCACAAACAGAGTGTTTCAAAACTGCTCTACGGAAAGGTATGTTCAAATCTGTGAGTTTACTGCAAACATCCTAAAGAAGTTTCTGGGAATGCTGCTGTCTAGTTTAATGTGAATATATTTTCTTTTCCGCCATAGCCCTCAAAGAGTTCCAAATATCCACTTTCAGATTCTACAGAGTGTTTCAAAACTGCTCTATCCAAAAAAAGTTTCAACTCGGTGAGTCGAATGCACATATCACAAAGCAGTTTCTGAGAATGCTTTCATCTATTTTTCCCAGGAAGATATTTCCTTTTGGACCGTAGGCCTCAAATCGCTCCAGATATCCACATGCAGATTCTACAAAAAGAGTGTTTCCAAACTGCCCTATCAAAAGGAAGGTTCAACTCTGGTAGTTGAATGCAAACATCACAAAGAAGTTTCTCAGAATGCTTCTGTCTGGTTTTTAGAGGCAGATATTTCTTTTTCTACCATAGGCCTCAAAGCGCTCCAAATATCCTCTTGCAGATTCTCCAAAAGGAGTGTTTCAAAACTGCTCCATAAAAAGGAAGGTTCAACTCTGTGAGTTGAATGGACAGATGACAAAGAAGTTTCTGAGAATGCTTCTGTCTAGTGTTTATGTGAAGATATTCCCGTTTCCGATGAAGGCCTGAAAGCAGTCCAAATATCCACTTGCAGATTCTACAAAAATAGTGCTTCAAAACTACTCTATGGAAAGGTATGTTCAACACTGTGAGATGAATGCAAACGTCACAAAGAAGCTGCTGAGAATGCTTCAGTCTAGTTTCTATGGGAAGACATTTCCTTTTGCACCACAGCTCTCAAAGCACTCCAAATATCTATTTGCAGATTCGATATAAGAGTTTTTCAAAACCGCTGTATCAAAAGAAAAGTTCAACGCTGTTAGTTGAATCTACATATCACAAAAAAGTTTCTGAGAATGCCTCTATCTACGTTTTATGTGAAGATATTCCGGTTTCCAACGAAGGCCTCAAAGCACTCCAAATATCTACTTGCAGATTCTAGAAAAAGAGTGTTTCAAAACTGGTCTATTAAAGGAAGGTTCAACTCTGTGAGTTGAATTCACACATGACAAAGAACTTTCTGACAATGCTTCTATCTAATTTTTATGTGAAGGTATTACTGTTTCCTATGAAGGCCTCAAAGTGGTCCGAATATCCACTTGCAGATTCTACAAAAAGAGGTTTTCAAAACTGCTCTATGAAGAGGTATGTTCAACTCTGTGAGTTGAATGCAAACATCACAAAGTAGTTTCTGAGAATGCTTCTGTCTAGTTTTTAGGGGAAGATATCTCCATTGGCACAATAGCCCTCAAAGCGCTCCAAGTATCCACTGGCAGATCCTAGCAAAAGAGTGTTTCAAAACTGCTCTGTGAGAAGAAATGTTCAACTGTGTTAGTTGAATGCCCACATCACAAAGACGATTGTGAGAATATTTCTGTCTAGTTTTTATTAGAAGATATTCCCGTTTCCACCAAAGGACACAAAGCGAAGCCAATTATCCGCTTGCAGATCTTACAAAAACACATTCCAAAACTGCTCTATCAAAGGAAAGGTTCGTCTCTCTGGGTTCAACGCACACATCACAAAGAAGTTTCTGAGAATGCTTCTGGCTAGTTTGTGTGTGAAGATATACCCATTTCCAACAAAGGCTTCAAAGCCCTCCAAATATTCACCTGCAATTGTTCAAAAGAGTGTTTCAAAACTGTTCTATCAAAAGGAAGGTTCAACTCTGTGAGTTGAATGCACGCTTCACATAAATGGTTCTGAGAATGCTTCTCTCTAGTTTTTATGGGAAGATATTTCCTTCTCCACCATAGCCCTCAAAGCGCTCCAAGTGTCCGCTGGCAGATTCCACAGAAACAGTGTTTCAAAACTGCTCTAACAAAAGAAAGATTCAACTCCGTGAATGGAATGCACACATCACAAAGCATTTTCTGTGAATCCTTCTGTCTAGTTTTTATATGAGGATATTTCCTTTTCTACCATGGACATCAAAGCGTTCCAATCATCCAATTGTAGAATGCACAAATAGAGTGTTTCAAAACTGCTTCATGAAAAGGAAGATTCAAATTTGGGAGTAGAATGCACACATCACGAAGAAGTTTCTGAGAATGCTTCTGTCTAGTTTATACGTGAAGATATTGCCATTTCCAGCCAAGTTCTCAAAGCGGTCCAAATATCCACTTGCGGATCCCACAAACAGAGTGTTTCAAAACTGCTCTACGGAAAGGTATGTTCAACTCTGTGAGTTTACTGCAAACATCCTAAAGAAGTTTCTGAGAATGCTGCTGTCTAGTTTAATGTGAATATATTTTCTTTTCCGCCATAGCCCTCAAAGACCTCCAAATAGCCACTTTCAGAATCTACAGAGTGTTTCAAAACTGCTCTATGAAAAAAAAGTTTCAACTCGGTGATTCGAATGCACATATCACAAAGCAGTTTCTGAGAATGCTTTCGTCTATTTTTCCCAGGAACTTATTGCCTTTTTGACCGTAGGCCTCAAACCGCTCCAGATATCCACATGCAGATTCTACAAAAAGAGTGTTTCCAAACTGCCCTATCAAAAGGAAGGTTCAACTCTGCTAGTTGAATGCAAACATCACAGAGAAGTTTCTCGGAATGCTTCTGTCTAGTTTTTAGAGGTAGATATTCCTTTTTCTACCATAGGCCTCAAATCTCTCCAAATATCCACTTGCAGATTCTCCAAAAACAGTGTTTCAAAACTGCTCCATAAAAAGGAAGTTTCAACTCTGTGAGTTGAATGGACAGATCACAAAGAAGTTTCTGAGAATGCTTCTGTCTAGTGTTTATGTGAAGATATTGCCGTTTCCGATGAAGGCCTCAAAGCAGTCCAAATATCCACTTGCAGATTCTACAAAAATAGTGTTTCAAAACTACTCTATGGAAAGGTATGTTCAACACTGTGAGATGAATGCAAACGTCACAAAGAAGTTGCTGAGAATGCTTCAGTCTAGTTTCTATGGGAAGACATTTCCTTTTGCACCACAGCCCTCAAAGCACCCCAAATGTCTACCTGCAGATTCGAAAAAAGAGTTTTTCAAAACTGCTCCATCCAAAGAAAGGTTCAACGCTGTGAGTTGAATCTACATATCAAAAAAAAGTTTCTGAGAATGCCTCTATCTACTTTTTATGTGAAGATATTCCGGTTTCCAACGAAGGCCTCAAAGCGCTCCAAATATCTACTTGCAGATTCTAGAAGAAGAGTGTTTCAAAACTGCTCTATTAAAGGAAGGTTCAACTCTGTGAGTTGAATTCACACATCACAAAGAACTTTCTGACAATGCTTCTATCTAGTTTTTATGTGAAGATATTACTGTTTCCTATGAAGGCCTCAAAGTGGCCCGAATATCCACTTGCAGATTCTACAGAAAGAGGTTTTCAAAACTGCTCTGTGAAGAGGTATGTTCAACTCTGTGTGTTGAATGCAGACATCACGAAGTAGTTTCTGAGAATGCTTCTGTCTAGTTTTTAGGGGCAGATATTTCCATTGGCACAATAGCCCTCAAAGCGCTCCAAATATCCACTGGCAGATTCGACCAAAAGAGTGTTTCAAAACTGCTCTGTGAAAAGAAATGTTCAACTGCGTTAGTTGAATGCCCACATCACAAAGAAGTTTCTGAGAATATCTCTGTCTAGTTTTTATTAGAAGATATTCCCGTTTCCACCAAAGGACACAAAGCGAAGCCAATTATCCGCTTGCAGATCTTACAAAAACACGTTTCAAAACAGCTCTATCAAAGGAAAGGTTCATCTCTCTGGGTTCAACGCACACATCACAAAGAAGTTTCTGAGAATACTTCTGGCTAGTTTGTGTGTGAAGATATTCCCATTTCCAACAAAGGCTTCAAAGCGCTCCAAAGATTCACCTGCAATTGTTCAAAAGAGTGTTTCAAAACTGTTCTATCAAAAGGAAGGTTCAACTCTGTGAGTTGAATGCACGCTTCACATAAATGTTTCCTAGAATGCTTCTTTCTAGTTTTTATGTGAAGATATTTCCTTCTCCACCATAGCCCTCAAAGCGCTCCAAGTGTCCGCTGGCAGATTCCACAGAAACAGTGATTCAAAACTGCTCTAACAAAAGAAACATTCAACTCCGTGATTTGAATGCACACATCACAAAGCATTTTCTGTGAATGCTTCTGTCTAGTTTTTATATGAGGATATTTCCTTTTCTACCATGGGCATCAAAGCGTTCCAATTATCCAACTGTGGATTGCACAAACAGAGTGTTTCAAAACTGCTTCATGAAAAGGAAGATTCAAATTCGGGAGTAGAATGCACACATCACGAAGAAGTTTCTGAGAATGCTTCTGTCTAGTTTATATGTGAAGATATTCCCATTTCCAGCAAAGATCTCAAAGCTGTCCAAATATCCACTTGCGGATCCCACAAACAGAGTGTTTCAAAACTGCTCTACAGAAAGGTATGTTCAACTCTGTGAGTTTACTGCAGACATCCTAAAGAAGTTTCTGAGAATGCTGCTGTCTAGTTTAATGTGAATATATTTTCTTTTCCGCCATAGCCCTCAAAGAGCTCCAAACATCCACTTTCAGATTCTACAGAGTGTTTCAAAACTGCTCTATCCAAAAAAAGTTTCAACTCGGTGAGTCGAATGCACATATCACAAAGCAGTTTCTGAGAATGCTTTCGTCTATTTTTCCCAGGAAGATATTTCCATTTTGACCATAGGCCTCAAATCGCTCCAGATATCCACATGCAGATTCTACAAAAAGAGTGTTTCCAAACTGCCCTATCAAAAGGAAGATTCAACTCTGGTAGTTGAATGCAAACATCACAAAGAAGTTTCTCAGAATGCTTCTGTCTTGTTGTCATAGGCAGATATTTCTTTTTCTACCATAGGCCTCAAAGCGCTCCAAATATCCACTTGCAGATTCTCCAAAAACAGTGTTTCAAAACTGCTCCATAAAAAGGTATGTTCAACTCTGTGAGTTTACTGCAAATATCCTAAAGAAGTTTCTGGGAATGCTTCTCTCTAGTGTTTATGTGAAGATATTCCCGTTTCCGATGAAGGCCTCAAAGCAGTCCAAATATCCACTTGCCGATTCTACAAAAACAGTGTTTCAAAACCACTCTATGGAAAGGTATGTTCAACACTGTGAGATGAATGCAAACGTTACCAAGAAGTTGCTGAGAATGCTTCAGTCTAGTTTCTATGGGAAGACATTTCCTTTTGCACCACAGCCCTCAAAGCACCCCGAATGTCTACCTGCAGATTCGATAAAAGGGTTTTTCAAAACTGCTCCATCCAAAGAAAGGTTCAACGCTGTGAGTTGAATCTACATTTCACAGAAAAGTTTCTGAGAATGCCTCTATCTACTTTTTATGTGGAGATATTCCGGTTTCCAACGAAGGCCTCAAAGCGCTCCAAATATCTACTGGCAGATTCTAGAAAAAGAGTGTTTCAAAACTGCTCTATTAAAGGAAGGTTCAACTCTGTGAGTTGAATTCACACATCACAAAGAACATTCTGACAATGTTTCTATCTAGTTTTTATGTGAAGATATTACTGTTTCCTGTGAAGGCCTCAAAGTGGTCCGAATATCCACTTGCAGATTCTACAGAAAGAGGTTTTCAAAACTGCTCTGTGAAGAGGTATGTTCAACTCTGTGTGTTGAATGCAAACATCACGAAGTAGTTTCTGAGAATGCTTCTGTCTAGTTTTTAGGGGAAGATATCTCCATTGGCACAATAGCCCTCAAAGCCCTCCAAGTATCCACTGGCAGATTCTAGCAAAAGAGTGTTTCAAAACTGCTCTGTGAGAAGAAATGTTCAACTGTGTTAGTTGAATGCCCACATCACAAAGACGATTGTGAGAATATTTTTCTGTCTAGTTTTTATTAGAAGATATTCCCGTTTCCACCAAAGGACACAAAGCGAAGCCAATTATCCGCTTGCAGATCTTACAAAAACACGTTTCAAAACTGCTCTATCAAAGGAAAGGTTCATCTCTCTGGGTTCAACGCACACATCACAAAGAAGTTTCTGAGAATACTTCTGGCTAGTTTATGTGTGAAGATATTCCCATTTCCAACAAAGGCTTCAAAGCGCTCCAAAGATTCACCTGCAATTGTTCAAAAGAGTGTTTCAAAACTGTTGTATCAAAAGGAAGGTTCAACTCTGTGAGTTGAATGCACGCTTCACATAAATGTTTCTGAGAATGCTTCTTTCTAGTTTTTATGGGAAGATATTTCCTTCTCCACCATAGCCCTCAAAGCGCTGCAAGTGTCCGCTGGCAGATTCCACAGAAACAGTGTTTCAAAACTGCTCTGACAAAAGAAAGATTCAACTCCGTGATTTGAATGCACACATCACAAAGCATTTTCTGTGAATCCTTCTGTCTAGTTTTTATATGAGGATATTTCCTTTTCTACCATGGGCATCAAAGCGTTCCAATTATCCAATTGTGGATTGCACAAACAGTGTGTTTCAAAACTGCTTCATGAAAAGGAAGATTCAAATTCGGGAGTAGAATGCACACATCACGAAGAAGTTTCTGAGAATGCTTCTGTCTAGTTTATATGTGAAGATATTCCCGTTTCCAGCAAAGGTCTCAAAGGGGTCCAAATATCCACTTGCGGATCCCACAAACAGAGTGTTTCAAAACTGCTCTACGGAAAGGTATGTTCAACTCTGTGAGTTTACTGAAAACATCCTAAAGAAGTTTCTGGGAATGCTGCTGTCTAGTTTAATGTGAATATATTTTCTTTTTCGCCATAGCCCTCAAATAGTTCCAAATATACACTTTCAGATTCTACAGAGTGTTTCAAAACTGCTCTATCAAAAAAAAGTTTCAACTCGGTGAGTCGAATGCACATATCACAAAGCAGTTTCTGAGAATGCTTTCGTCTATTTTTCCCAGGAAGAGATTACATTTTTGACCGTAGGCCTCAAACCACTCCAGATATCCACATGCAGATTCTACAAAAAGAGTGTTTCCAAACTGCCCTATCAAGAGGAAGGTTCAACTCTGCTAGTTGAATGCAAACATCACAGAGAAGTTTCTCGGAATGCTTCTGTCTGGTTTTTAGAGGCAGATATTTCTTTTTCTACCATAGGCCTCAAAGCGCTCCAAATATCCACTTGCAGATACTCCAAAAACAGTGATTCAAAACTGCTCCATAAAAAGGAAGGTTCAACTCTGTGAGTTGAATGGATAGATCACAAAGAAGTTTCTCAGAATGCTTCTCTCTAGTGTTTATGTGAAGATATTCCCGTTTCCGATGAAGGCCTCAAAGCAGTCCAAATATCCACTTGCCGATTCTACAAAAACAGTGTTTCAAAACTACTCTACGGAAAGGTATGTTCAACACTGTGAGATGAATGCAAACGTCACAAAGAAGTTGCTGAGAATGCTTCAGTCTAGTTTCTATGTGAAGATATTTCCTTTTCGACCACAGCCCTCAAAGCACTCCAAATGTCTACTTGCAGACTCGATAAAAGAGTTTTTCAAAACTGCTCTATCAAAAGAAAGGTTCAACGCTGTGAGTTGAATCTACATATCACAAAAAAGTTTCTGAGAATGACTCTATCTACATTTCCTGTGAAGATATTCCGGTTTCCAACGAAGGCCTCCAAGCGCTCCAAATATCTACTTGCAGATTCTAGAAAAAGAGTGTTTCAACACTGCTCTATTAAAGGAAGGTTCAACTCTGTGAGTTGAATTCACACATCACAAAGAACTTCCTGACAATGCTTCTATCTAGTTTTTATGTGAAGATATTACTGTTTCCTATGAAGGCCTCAAAGTGGTCCGAATATCCTCTTGCAGATTCTACAAAAAGAGGTTTTCAAAACTGCTCTATGAAAAGGTAGGTTCAACTCTGTGAGTTGAATGCAAACATCACAAAGCAGTTTCTGAGAATGCTTTCTGTCTAGTTTTTAGGGGCAGATATTTCCATTGGCACAATAGCCCTCAAAGCGCTCCAAATATCCACTGGCAGATTCTACCAAAAGGGTGTTTCAAAACTGCTCTGTGAAAAGAAAGGTTCAACTGTGTTAGTTGAATGCCCACATCACAAAGAAGATTCTGAGAATATTTCTGTCTAGTTTTTATTAGAAGATATTCCCGTTTCCACCAAAGGACAAAAAGCGAAGCCAATTATCCGCTTGCCGATCTTACAAAAACGCGTTTCAAAACTGCTCTATCGAAGGAAAGGTTCATCTCTCTGGGTTCAACGCACACATCACAAAGAAGTTTCTGAGAATGCTTCTGGCTAGTTTGTGTGTGAAGATATTCCCATTTCCAACAAAGGCTTCAAAGCGCTCAAAGATTCACCTGCAATTGTTCAAAAGAGTGTTTCAAAACTGTTCTATCAAAAGGAAGGTTCAACTCTGTGAGTTGAATGCACGCTTCACATAAATGTTTCTGAGAATGCTTCTTTCTAGTTTTTATGTGAAGATATTTCCTTCTCCACCATAGCCCTCAAAGCGCTCCAAGTGTCCGCTGGCAGATTCCACAGAAACAGTGTTTCAAAACTGCTCTAACAAAAGAAAGATTCAACTCCGTGATTTGAATGCACACATCCCCAAGCATTTTCTGTGAATCCTTCTGTCTAGTTTTTATATGAGGATATTTCCTTTTCTACCACGGGCATCCAAGCGTTCCAATTCTCCAATTGTAGATTGCACAAACAGAGTGTTTCAAAACTGCTCCATGAGAAGGAAGATTCAAATTAGGGAGTACAATGCACCCATCACCAAGAAGTTTCTGAGAATGCTTCTGTCTAGTTTATATGTGAAGATATTCCCATTTCCAGCAAAGGTCTCAAAGCGGTCCAAATATCCACTTGCGGATCCCACAAACAGAGTGTTTCAAAACTGCTCTACGGAAAGGTATGTTCAACTCTGTGAGTTTACTGTAAACATCCTAAAGAAGTTTCTGAGAGTGCT